>NC_000007.14:117355263-117658294 GCF_000001405.40 Homo sapiens
ACTCTGGAAACTATAAAACATTGCTGAAAGAAATTAAAGATCTAAATAAATGGACAGACATCCATGTTCATGGATCAGATGATTTAATATTAAGATGGCAGTGCTCCCCAAATTGATCTACAAATTCAAAGCACTCTCTATCAAAATCCCACATTTATGTAATGTCAACTAATCTTCAGTGAAGGGTGCCAAGACAATTCAATGGGGAAAAGTACAGTCTCTGCAACAAATGATGCTGGGACAGCTGAATATCCACATGCCAAAGAATGAAGTTGAACCTCTTCTTCATACCATATTTAAAAATTAACTCTAAATGGATCAGTGATCTAAATATAAGAGCTAAAACTATAAAAATCCTAGAAGACAACACATATAAATCTTCAAGGTCTTAGATCTGGCAGTGGATTCTAACATATGACATGAAAAGCTCAAACAACAGGAGAAAACAAATGAGATATCATCCAATGAAAATAATTTCTCATCAAAAGACATTATTAAGAAAGTGAAAGGAAAGCCTACAGAATGGGAGAAAATATTTGCAAATCATATATCTTATCAGGGTCTAGTATCCAGAATAAAGAACACTTATAACTAAATAAGACAACGCAACTAAAAAATGGGCATAGGACTTGAATCAACATTTCTCCAAAAAAGATATACAAGTGGCCAATATGCACAGGAAAAAATGCTCATTAGCCACCAGAAAAATGCAAATCAAAACCACAGTGAGAGAACACTTCACATCCACTAGGATGGAAATAATAAGAAAGACAGATAAATGGCAAGGATGTGGAAAAATTAGAACCCTCACACACAGTAGGTAAAAAATGTAAAATGGTGCAGCTACTTTGGAAAAGGTCTGCAGTTTCTCAAATGGTCTTATAGAGTCATCATATGAGCTCGCAATTCTACTCCTAGGTATATATCTAAGAGAAATGAAAACATGCTCACAGCCCAGAATGGAAAACAACCCAAATGTTCATCAATTGATGAATGGATAAATGTAATATATGCATACAATGAAATACTCAGCATAAAAATTAATGAAGTACTGATACATACTAAAACAGTGATGAAGTTTGAAAACATTATACTCAGTGAAAAAAGTCAGTCACAAAGGACCACATATTGTATGATTCCATTTATATGAAATGGCCGGAAATGAAAAATCCATAAACAGAAAGTAGATTAGTGGTTTCCTAGGGCTGGGTGGGATTGGGGATGATGGACAGGGAGTAAGGGGTTTCTTTTTGGGGTACTGAAAATGTTTTAAAATTGATTTTGGTTATGGATAGAAAAC
Source organism: Homo sapiens (assembly GCF_000001405.40). Taxonomy (NCBI): domain Eukaryota; kingdom Metazoa; phylum Chordata; class Mammalia; order Primates; family Hominidae; genus Homo; species Homo sapiens. The sequence goes on from NC_000007.14 coordinate 117,356,564, forward strand.
TGTAATAGACCAGAATCCATTGAATTGTATGCTTTCAATGAATGAATTATCTCAAGAAAGCTTTTAAAACAAAACATTAAATGTGAACAAATACAAGATCAAGTGTACATTTTTTTTTTTTTAAGACAGGGTCTCACTCTGTTGCCCGGGCTGGAGTGCCGTGGTGCAATCTCAGCTCACTGCAACCTCTGCCTCCTAAATTCAAGCGATTCTCCTGCCTCAGCCTCCTGAGTAGCTAGGATTACAGGTGCGCACCACCATGCCTGGCTAATTTTTGTATTTTTAGTAGAGATGGTTTCACCATGCTGCCCAGGTTGGTCTCAAACTCCTGACCTCAAGTGATCCGTCTGCCTTGGCATCCCAAAGTGCTGGGATTACAGGCGTGAGCCACGACCCAGCCAAGTGTACAGTTTTATAGTGTAGTCACATGGCACACTGCACTATGAAATGTGATGTTTCAGTCAATGATGCAGGAATATCTGATGGTGGTCCCATAACATTATAATGGAACTGAAAAATTCTTATTGCCTAGTGGAATCATGGCCATTGTAACACTCTAGTGCAATGCATTACTCACGTGTTTGTGGTGGTGATGGTGTAAACAAACCTACTATGCTGCCAGTCACATAAAAGTCTAGCACATACATTATATACAGGACATAATACTTGATAATAATAAACTATGTTAATGGTTTATGTATTTACTAAACTTTTAAATCATTATTTAAGTGTATTCCTTTTACTTATTAAAAAATAACTGTAGAATAGCTCAGGCAGATCCTTCAGGAATTATTTCAGAAGGCACTATTATTACAGATGACAGCTGTATGCATGTAATTACCCTTGAAGACCTTCCAGTGGGACAAAATGTGGAGGTAGAAGACAGTGATATTGATGGTCCTGACTTTGTGTAGGCCTAGACTAATGTGTGTATGTTTGTGTCTTAGGTTTTAACAAAGAAGTTTAAAAATTAAAAAAACGAATGAATACTTTTAAAAATAGAGACAAGCTCATAGAATAAGGATATAAAGAAAATACTTTTGTACAATTGTACAATACGTTTTGTGTTTTAAGTTAAATGTTTTACAAAAGAACCTGTTTTTAAAAATTAAGAAGTTTATAAAGTAAAAATGTTACAGTAAGCTAAGGTTAATTTATTATTGAAGGAAAGTATTTAAAAATAAATTTAGTGTAGCCTAAGTGCACAGTGTTTATAATGTCTACAGTAGTATACAGCAATGTCTTAGGCTTTCATATTTACTAGCCACTTACTCACTGATTCACCCAGAGCAACTTCCAGTCCTGCAAGCTTCATTCATGGTAAGTGTCCTATACAGGTGTACCATTTTTACCTTTTATATTGTATTTTTACTGTACCTTTTGTATGTTTAGATATGTTTTGATACAAATACCATTGTCTTACTTGCCCAAAATATTCAGTACAGTAACATGCTGTACAGGGTAGTCTAGGAGTACCATAAAGTCTAGATGTGTAGCAGGCTATACCTCTAGGTTTGTTTAAATACACTCTATGATGTTTGCACAATGACAGAATTGCCTAACGATGGATTCTCAGAATGTATCCCCGTCTTTAAGTGATGCAGGACTGCATTTACTATTTTTAAATATTTTAATTTGCAAATATTTATAAAGTATTCATTCTTACACTTTATAACCTTATGTTTGCTGTTTATCAAAAATGTGATAAACTTGATCATATTAATGGTCTTCTAATTCCAAATTTACTATCTTACATGAAAACTATCCTTACTAATACCAGATTTTAAAACTCTCTTAATTTCTCTTTAAATTCAGCAGTTTTTTTTTTTTCAATATCTACAATTAAACTTGTTTTCAAACTTAGGTTGTAGAGTAGGCATTTTATAGTTGGTTTTTTCATAATCCATTTTTGTTAATATGCCAATTTTTTACCTCTTGAAATCTTGGAATTTTGGGGCTTGAAATTGTACATATCATTGAATTTTTATGTATATACTCAAGCAACTCCTGGCCAGATCAGGATAAAATATTTCCAGTATCCTTTATTCTTTCCCAGTCAATACCTACTTCTCAGACCTAGCCACTACCATCACTTCTATAAGTTTTGCCATAAATAAGTTTTCCCTATTTTGAACTTATGTATAAATTCATAATATGGTATGTACAAAATTTTGTGTTTGGCTTCTTTTGCTCAGTATTATATCTGTCCGTTTTGCCCATGTTTTTGTGTGTAGTCATAGTTTGTTCTTTTTTATTACTATGCAGTATTCCATTGTCCAACTATTGTGTTATTTATCTGTTGCAGTTTTGGGCTATTAATAAACCTACTGTGAACATTCCTGTACATGTCTTTCTGGGGAAGTGTGAACTCATTTCTCTAGGGCATATATTCAGAAGAACTGCTGGGTCATCAAGAAAACATGTTTAGTTTTAATAGATACTGCCAAATGGTTTTCCAAAATGGTTTTTCCACTCTGTGGTTTAAACTAGTAATGTATGAGTTTCAAGTACTTTATCCCTACTACCACTTGGTGTCATTCTTTTTAAATTTTAGTCTTTTTGATGAGTGTGTAATGGTATATTTCATGGTGGTTTTAATTTACATTTCCCTACTGACTAATGCTGTTGACCATCCTCTGGGCCAAATTTGGCCCATGGGTTGAAGGATGCTGACCTGTGTATGCTCTTGCCTAGCCTCACTGGCCACTCTTTAATTTCCTTTCCTGATTCTTCCTGTCTCCCTTCCTTTGAATTTTGGTATCCTAGGACCTACCCTTCTTCTTTGTCTACATTATTCCCTTAGGGATCCAGTCAGGTCTTCTTATCTCTAAAGTGACAACATCCAAATTTTTAACTTCTGCCTGTGTCTCTCTCCTCTGAATTTCTGACTAAAATACTCTGATTATTAGAAATTACTCCCTTCTCATCTCTCCTAATTGTTTTTGTCTTCTCAGAGACTTCCTTCTTTCGGTAAATGGCAACTCCATTCTTCTGGTTGCTCAAGCCAAAAAACTTAAAGTTATCTTTGACTATTGCTTTTCACTTAGAACTCACACTCAACCTGTTAAGTAAATCCTATTGGTTATATCTTAAAAATGTGTCTTGAACTCAACTGCTTTCATTTTCCAATGTTAATTCAAGCTACCATCATCTTGCACCTGGAATATTGCAGCAGCCTCCTAACTAGTCTCACAGCATCCACACTGGTGCCTCTAGTCCATTTAAAAATAACAGTACAGGCCGGGTGCAGTGGCTCACGCCTGTAATCCCAGCACTTTGGGAGGCTGAGGCGGGCGGATCACAAGGTCAGGAGTTCAAGACCAGCCTGGTCAATATGGTGAAACCCCGTCTCTACTAAAAATGCGAAAAAAAATTAGCCAGGTGTGGTGGCAGGCACCTGCAATCCCAGCTACTTGGGAGGCTGCGGCAGAATTGCTGAACCCAGGAGGCAGAGGTTTCAGTGAGCCGAGATCATGCCACTGCACTCCAGCCTGGGTGACACAGCAAGACTCCATCTCAAAAAATAAAAATAAAAAAAACCACACTTTATTGCTATAGTGATATTTGTACCTCATGGATTTTGTTCTGGAATAGTTTACCCCCAGATATCTGTATGGCTTACTCTCTAATCCTTTATGTTCTCAAACGTTCTGAAGTTTGAGACATCTTCCCTGACCACTCAAAGTACTACTTCTACCCTGCACTTCCTATTTCCTTTTGTCTTGTCTTCATAGCACTTATCACATCTAATATCTTATGCTTTATCTGTTGGTTTATTTCCATTAGAAGTTCCATGAGGGCAGGGATAATTGATTTCCCAACATCTAGAAAAAATGCCTGACACATAAGTGCTCAGTAAATATGTGAGTGAATGAATGCATGAGTGCTGGAAAGAGCATGGGACTTGAAGTTAAACTGATTGGATTAAAATCCCAGCTTTCTTATTAGCAGTGTGAATTTCAACAATTTACTTCAACTGTCTCTGAAACTCATTTTCTGTAAAATAGGAATATATATCTCATGGCCCTGGCCTATGAATTAAATGTAACATTTATGAAGTGTTTGCCATATATTAGGCATTCAAATGGTAATCTGTCCATCTCTGTCCTGAGCCTAAGAAACCATAATAGTTCTTTACAGTATAATCAGTTTATTTTTGAGCAATACTTTTTTTTTCAAAAGAAAAAGTTGCAGAAATGTAAGTTGGAAGTCACAATGCAGTTTTTTTTTCAAAAGCAATTTGGAAAAAATAATTTATGAAATAAATGTCAATATATAAATACTGTAATAACCCAATAGGGAAAAATAGATGTATTTTAAAATGAACTGTGAAACTACAGTACGCAGAATACGGGGCTTTTAATTCTTTTCTCAGAAAGCAAAAAATATTTCAAGTGTGTTTAAAATAACTGAGTAAAAAAAAAAAGAACCCAAACAATTAAGATAGGAAATAATAAAGGTGAAAATGAAATAAAATTTTTAAAATGTAGTTGACCAATAAACGCAAAAGCTGATTATTTGAAAATATTAACAAAATTAATAAATCTCTGCCTAGATTATCAGGATTAAAAGAGCCTCACATTTGTAACTCTGTGACATTAGACTGAGGTCTGTAAACTATAGGTTGGTGGGCCAAATCCAGGCAACACCTGTTTTTGTAAATAAAGTTCTATTGTACCAAAGCCACATTCATTCATTTATGTACTGTATATAGCTGCTTTTGTGCTATAACAGCAGAGTTAAGAAATGTTGACAGAGACCACATGTCCTGCAAAGTCTAAAATATTTACTATCTGGACCTTTACAAAAAAAATGTTTGCTGACCTCTTAACTAGAGGAAACCCAGTATGCAAGTTCTTTTTAAAAAATGATTCTATTTCCCAGGGAAATAAGAAGCATAGCCATCATTTTAAGAATGAGATGTGGAGGTCTCAGAAGTTTGAGGAAAGAGCAGCGCGAAATAGTTATCTGGTAAAAAGGTTACTGAATGTATCAGAGAAATGTAGTAAGTGTATCAGAGAAATGTACTAAGACTGACAAAGAGCACTAAACACATCACTTAAGGATAGTGGCAAGATGGGACAAGTAAGCATGCTTCTCTTTGAAAGATACTTACATCCTCAAAATAGATTATTTGTGTTCCAGAGTTGGTTCTAAAGATATAGGACCATTTTCTAATTCAGATTAATTAAAAATTAAATACCAACTAATTTTAAAAAAGGTTTACTACTTTCAAGTGCATAGAATTAAAACTCAGTTGACAACATTTGTATCTGTGGTTCAGGGAAGTCTCTAAGGGAGACTTACTTTAAATCCTCTTCTTGTTTGAAGAAGAGAAGAAAAATGATTTATACTGAGTTATGTGTTACAAAAGAATGGATATTCCAGAAGCAATAAATGCCTCCCTTCCCGCAAAAAGCACTGTAATCAGGTGAAATAATCAGAGTAGGAAGAGACTTATGCTCTAGATGAAATAACCAATTTTAAATTACAAGAAAAATAATAATTCTATTGATACTTTACCCATAGAAATAACTTCACTAATCACAACAATGCTGCTGTACTTATTCTCAATCTGTAATCTAAAAATCACACTGTGTCATGGAAATGAAAAATCACCATTTTATGGACTTCTGTGACAAATCCTTTTGGAAAGCAAATATTTTATAAATTCACATCTTCACAGTTTGTCCTAATATTTGCGAGATGGTTTGGTTTTGTCAGAAGAAAAAAAATAGTGACCTACCCAGCCAATAGAAGAAATATCATTATCTTTAAGATGAACTGAGGTGAAAAAGACAATCATAAATAGATAATCTGATAGTATGTCATTTTCTGAGAGTGCTTTTTAAAATTTTTTTTTTTTTAAAAAGGAAACTAAAACTAAGATTTATTAAATGTTTTCTATTTACCCAAGCACTGTGCTGACTGGGAGTGAAACACTGTATGTGTTAAAAGAAGTACCTTTAGAACTTCTAAGACTCATTTAAATGAGGAAATATCAGCAAAAAAATATGCCTTGCTATTTAGCAGTTAGGTTAAAATATGGCCAATTCTCAAGAAAAGAATGATTGAAATCTTGTAGTTTTGGTATAAGCAAGAGCAGAAACTGCTACTAATTATAGATCCTTATAATGTTCTTCCTTTCCACAATTCTTTATCTGTGCTTTGTTTACTTCTCAAACAACTGTAGATCAACTGCATCTGTTTAAGTATGGCACTAAGTCAGGCAAGATTTAAGTACTATATTCTCTGCTAAATTGGGCCTGCCATTTTATTAACTTCACTTTAAAAATCTGAAAATCATTAGTTTGATTTTGAAAAATAAATCTTACTTTAGATATGATAAATAATATGTCAAATGCCATTCACTTTTATAATATTCCTAAGAATGTTATATAGTATGTATGTTCCCCAAAGTATTTTACATAAAAAATTCCAATGTACTTTGTACTTTCAACACCAGTCTCTAATTTTTTGCTGTTTTAATTTGTATTTAAAATACTTTTCCTAAGGATTTAATCCACAATTCAAAACTTTAACATTTTACCTTTATCCTTTGTATTCTCTCAGATACTTTCAAAATTAATAATTTCCTCATAATGTAATATAACAAAAAAATCCAATAAAAATCCATATTATGTAATAATGGAGGGGGAAAAAAGAAACAAAAGAAAGCTCAATTTATGAACACTTTACAAATCCTGTACGATTCACTGACAAATGAACACACTTTAAAAAATGTCAAAGATATTAGATATAACTTTAATTTTGAATGTGATTTAGATACGATCAAACCAAAAAATTACTTATACTTTACTACCTAATCACAATTAACATAAACATAACAAATTGTATTTATAAGTCAAAGTAACAAACCACTTTTTAAAAAAAAACTCCACATTGTCAAAATTTTTCCTATGGAATATTGGCAAAGAATGTAAAGTTATATTGTGCTGCAAACAGTTAAAAGCAATGATTTTTGGATGGTTCAATAAGATGTGTATATATAACTTAAAACAAATATTTGGATTATTTCCTCTGGAAAGTTAGCTTGCAAATGAAAAGAAGAAAACCGAATCCGCATATGGTAATAGCTGTCCTCTTCAAAATTCTACTATTCCATGTAGATACTTCTTCCCTTAATTGTATATGAGTTGGATCATTTTCCCGTTCATTTTGCAACTAATATTTAGTATGGAAAAAGAAAAGAGGAGTTACTGTACAATACATTAATAAAACATTTTGATTTTAAAAAATATCATAATATCCATGTTAATTCATTTCACTTGATTTAGATGTAGGCAACTCAAGATTCCCATGGAAGATTTAAAGTAAACATATATGTCTGAAAGACAGTCTTTCATTAGAATCCCATTACTGTAAATCATTAGTTTTACATTAAAAATACATGCTTTCATAGATGATCACATTTTAAAATGGTGTTTTTAATGTCACGAGACAAAGTAACTTTAAATTTAAAGTTTCTGTTTTACTTATAAGGAATGACAATTGATATTGATTTGCTTGTGCATTAAATATCAATTAACGTCTTACAAAAAAGTGAATCATTATTATAGCAAACCTAAAACATGAAATTTAGCAAAAACGAGAAGATCAGATGCTACTGGTAGAAACTTAATTTATTTAAATAGAATTGCAGTAACAAATGTCAACAAAAACTTAAGTGGTTCTTTTAGTAATTCTCAGCAATGAAAGTACAGTACCCAGTCAGTTTCTAACTTCCCAGATGCAAATTTCTTGCTTAAGAAGCTCCCTTCTCCCCTACCTACTGTGTGTGTGTGCCCACTCTGTGTGTATCTGTGTGTGTGTGTTTCTGTGAGAGACAGAGAGACAGAGAGAGAGAGAGAGAGAGAGAGAAGGGGGAAGTGAGAGAGAGAGAAAAGACTTAAAGAGGGAGGGCTGAGAGGAGAGGGATGGCTTTTGGGGGTGGGGCAGGAGAGAAAATAAGCAGAAACCAAAGATCCTTGAAAGATAAAAAGAATCAGGCACATTTATAGAGTGATATTTACTAGAAACATCCTGTGCTGGAGTGATGACATAAATACTTTCAACATCAGCAGGAATAATGACTTCCAAATTCTACAGTGTAAATATTTAATTAAAAAGCTTGCAAAATTAATTTTAAATTTATAGCAGAAAACCAGACTCCAATGCCAATCTCATTAATACCATATTCTTGGTCTGACTTCCAAATGGCTTCATTCAGCAACAGATTCCTTTTTGACACTGATGCTCCATTTACTGAATCCTGAGACAGTCATTCCTTTTATTAATCAATTACTTAGAATGACCCTTTCTGACAGGAGCCTGTCAGTGTGTTGGCTTGAAAGAGAGTGATGTGGTGTTAAAGTCTAGCCTTGACCTCTCCCACCCTCTCTCTGTTACCTCCATACACTTATCTGTGATAACTTATGTTTCTTAAAAAAAAATCCCTTCAATTATTATTGGTAAACTCTGAAATAATATAAGCTTAACAGGCATGATAGCATATTTCCAAATCTGGAAGCCTTCATAATTCCCTAAATCAAATCTCATTATGATGATTACTACTTGTACAAGACTAATCTGAAAAAACCAACCCACTAGCTTGCTCCAAAATTTAAGACTTTCTTGCCCAAAGAACTGTATTTGCCATTATTATAAACTAATACATGTTTTCAAGGGTAGTTCTTATATAGAAATGCATAAATTCTAAATAGAGAAGGGTCACGGGAAAAAGGTCTTCTATTTAGCCAAAGAACAATGAAAATTCTCTTAACAGGTATGCATTATTAAAATAAATATGGTACCTGATTGAATTGTGTATACTTTAGAGTCAGTTTCTATAGCAAAGTTTCTTAATTTCACTCATTTAACAAAAATATGGTTTTCTAATTTCATTTTAATTCTATACACACACCCTTACCCCTCACCCCCATGTTTTTAGTTCATCTTGGAGAAACCAAATTAGTAAATAACCCTGAAGCAAATAGCTTTTAGGAAATTTCCTACACTAAACATTAAAGGCTGATGTTTTGCAAGAAGTATCTTTATACATATGCTTCTAAACTTCCCTGGGATACCCATGAAAAATGGCATGTTTAAGTAGGATCAGTTCCTTTCCTTTGATTCTTCTAGATGAGATATAATTTTTGGGTCATCAGCAAGTTCAGGATGTAGCTTGTGTAGCACAGGTGCCTGACATATAGCAGGCAGTCTTATGTTTGTTGAATGAATAAATGTCAGAGACAATACAATTTCTAAGATGCCTTTTTTCTTTGGAAATAAATTATTTTCTACAAGAATTCTGAAACATAGTGCTCATTTCCTCATTTAAAATGTTCTTTCCCAGCTATTATTTTGTATAATAGAATTTGCTTCACAACTTTCTTCTCACTTTAAAAGACTCCTTTTGGGCCAGGCGCAATGGCGCACACCAGTAATCTCAGCACACTCGGAGGCCGAGGCAAGTGGATCACTTGACATCAGGAGTTTGAGACCAGTCTGGCCAACATGGTGAAACCTCATCTCTACTAAAAATACAAAAATTAGCTGGGTGTGGTGGTGCATGCCTGTAGTCCCAGCTACTCAGGAGGCTGAGGCAGGAGAATTGCTTGAATCTGGAAGGCGGAGGTTGCAGTGAGCCAAGATTGCACCACTGCACTCCAGCCTGGGCAATGGAGTGAGACTCAGTATCAAAAAAGAAAAAAAAAAGACTCCTTTTGATTTAACACATTAATAGCTAGAATGACAATTTATTAATACTTGGAACATGTATACAATCTATTTTGAAGAAAAGAACTTTTTTGATAAAATATTAATGAAAATGTTAAATGAATTATGGGTTGAAGCTGTATAAATAATGTATAATCTATCCTTCAAATCAGATATTTCACAAAAGCTTTATAGACATCAAATTTATGTATTAAACAGATAAAGAGCTCGGAAGTGAGCTCTTTAGTCGACTGGAAGTGTTTTTCTTTATTATCCATCTCCAACAAAGGTTCCCATTCCAACAGCTTAGATTTTGTTATAGCCAATTTTTTTTAAAGTGGAAAAATCACCTGTCCTTAAATACAGATATATATTATATATTTTTTCTATATTGTAAAAAACCAGAACCAAAGAAGTCCATACTCTTTAGAAAACAGTTAAATTATAAAAATATTACAGAGAGTCTGGACAATTACAGGGGTATTTCATCCACAATCGTGTCTCTTTAACAGAACCAATAAATACTTCATTTATTTTATCTGTACATTTACATGTAAGTAATAACGTACAAATATAATTTCATATCTTTAGCTGATATTTAATTTTCATTATTTTTTCAACTGCCTATTATAACAATTGGTATAGCATAATTTATTAAGTTGTTCTCCTAGTATAGAATACTTATGGTACATATAATTTGGGATAAAATACTATCAAAAGATACAAATATTTAATAGTATTTGGCACATCCTGCCAAACTGTTTTTGAAAGGGCTTGTGTTCTCACATAAGAATATCAGTTTGGTGAACTCTAAGTAGAAATTGGTAGTGATACATTTTTCCCTGCTAATTGAAAAGATAAAAATGACATATTCTTCTTTTAGTACGCATTTGCTTAATGGCCAACAAAGTCTGTTTCCTGTGTATATTTCTTCCTTTGGAAACTGTCCTTTTTCCCACTTGTCTAAGTGTTCCATTTGTTGCTCTTACCAGAACTGCTTCATTGTCTAACACCTTTTGCTGTAAATCATTTCCCTTCATTTTTCCCCTCCTTTTAATGTTAAATATATACCTTTTGAATTAGGTCTTTTAGTTTGCAGACCTTTTCACTCAAATCTTCAACATTATTAACCAATTCTTCACAAACTGAAGTAAAATTCTGGGGAGAAGCCCATTCCAGTGTTATCTGTTAATATTTTCAAAAGTTCAACATTAAATAATGGAAATAACTTTCTACAACTTTATATCCACAAAGATTATACAACATTCTTAAACATTAGATTACATAATTGAAAGGCATTTTTTTGTTTAGGATAAATACTGACACCAAAAATAAGTAATTTTATAAAAATATAATCAAATGAGCTTGCCAAATGCATTTCCTGAATATATGTATATATAACTTTCTATATGGAGATTAATATTAGTAATAACATTTATGATGAACAAATCAGTTCATGAAGGTTTTAAAAATGATGATTCTCATATTAATTGATGTTATATAAAAATCACTGGAAAACAAGTGCATTAAAAAATTTTCACTAAGACAAACAGCTAAAACCTAATCACATGAAATAAGCTGCTTTTGCAGGCCACTTCCACTTTTTCTTTCTTTTTTTTGAGAAAGTGTCTTGTTCTGTTGCCCAGGCTGGAGTGCAGTGGTGCAATCATGGCTCACTGCTGCCTCAACCTCTTGGGCTCAAGTGATCCTCCTGCCTCAGCCTCCTGAATAGCTAGGACCACAGGTGCATGCCATCATGCCCAGCTAATTTTCAGCTAGGACTAGAGGCACATGCCATCATGCGCAGCTAATTTTTAAAAATTCTTTGTAGAGACAGGGTCTCACCATGCTGCTCAGGCTGGTCTCAAACTCCTGGCCTCAAGCAATTCTCCCACGTGGGCCTCCCAAAGTGTTGGGATTACGGATGTGAGCCACTATGCCCAGCCACTTACACTCTTCCTATTCTAAATTTATTTAAAAATATTTTATTGATATGGTTTTTAAATAACACACTGTTTTATTTCCATTTTCACTTGGGTCTCCTGTCACTTTATATTTTAAAAAAGAACACATGGTAAATTCAATACACGGATCAGTTTAATTTTTGGTCTGACTCATTTTCTTTTTCTTGAAGGCAAGAATACAAAGTTTTAAAATCAGTATGTAAAGGAGTAATATTAAACAAATTGACTTATTTAGATCTTATGTGATTTTGCAGAACAAACGATGTAATTTCAGCAAATCAATACTATTTATTGAATTATCATGAACTTATCTGGAATGTTCTTCAGTGTTCATACTTTTCTTCACTTAATAACTTTTGTAGAATACCTTTTGAGAATTTACAGGTAACTCAGTAATAACATTCTGTACAGCTGTTATTAAATGGCCACACTGTTTATTTAATTTGAGAAGAAAGTTGAGGAACTCATCACCACTAAAGAAAGGAAACAAACAAACAAGCAGGAATTACTAATAAGAGCAATTTATTTCATTCTACTAGGCAAGTTACTGAAAATCTAGTCATAAAATTAGATTCTTCCAAAAGAATTCATGGAATAGCTAATACAGATTAGGTACTGAAACAGGCATTGATTATAAAAGAAAAACAAACCTCCAATCCCGAGGATCTTAAAGTTCAGGATAAGATGCAGATATACAATTACAGCTTTATTATTCACAGGAACACATGAAGGAGGAAGACAAAATAACCAATATTTGAGTAGCTACTATGTGAAGACACTGTACTAGTTATTTTACATTTGTTATTTCTTTTGATTTTTCCTAACAACCCCTATAGGATAGATGTTGTTAATACTATTTTATAGTGGAGACATCTAAAATTCAGGGGGAATGAATTTAGTATCACATGAGAAGGAGGGAGTAGGGAATTAGAAATGCTTTACAGAGATAATACTTGAATTGAGTCTGTGGTTGAAGAAAAAGTTTGCCAAGTAGGTAAGGAAGAGATTCTGGATAAAGAGAATAGCAGGTGCAAGAGTACAGGGGTAAAGGTCACTAAGGTGTAATTAAAACACAAATTATTGAAAAGTAGTAAGAGAAAAGGCTGGATATAACCATTTATTAAAAGAACTTTTGTGTCAGCATAAGGAATTAGATTTTACCTTTCTGATGATGTAGAGTTACTAAGAGATTTTCAACAGGAAATTTGAAAATTAGACTTTTAAATGAGAATGTTTATTTGGAGAGTGGTGTGGATAAAAGGAACACAAAAATAGAAGCAGAATAATTAGGCAACTAACAGAGAAATGCATCCAAGAGATGATGAAGGAAAACTTAAACTAAGGATCTGGCAGTGGCAGTCTTACTGTGGGGAGGAGGTAGAGCAATGACTTGAGAAACCTTTAGGAGAATAAACTGAAAAACTTGGTGATGGATTGTACGTAATGGAAGAATCTACGATGATTCTCAGTTTTTTTGGTTTCCACGGAAGGCGGTGCTGCCAAGCAAGGAATTGAATTTGGTGGTGCATGGTGGGGAAAACAGTGGGATAAAAGAAAACATTATGGCATAATAATTAAGAACACAGGCTCTTGAGTCAAGAGTCAATGTGAGTTTGGATTCAGCTTCCACACTTATTAGCTTTATGATTTTGGGCAAGAATAATCTTAAGCCAAATGTTTCCGTATCTCTAGAATGGAGACAGTAGGTCTCAAGAAAACAATGTACATAAAGTACCTAGGATTGTGCCTAGTACATAGCTGGTGTTCAAGCAAACATAATTATGATGACTGCAATGGTGAGGAGACATGCGGGTGGCAACAACCAGTAAGTGGTAGAAAATGGGGGTCTTGCAAGGGTATTTATTCTGGGCTCTAAAGACTCATGAAGATAGATACAATTCAGAGTCGGTGAACCTCAATGGGAAAAAAATACATCTTTATTTTCACTAACCTCTAACCAAGATTCAGTCTTTCCTTCAATTGCGAAGGTAGCACAGACACAGTAGTATTAGAGATGTCTCCAACAGAAATCAAAACTATGATCATAAAGAAGACCACAGGACATATTGTGAAGAAGGGAGAGTTGATAGGGGTGGAACAGAAAAGCCACTAAAGGAAACGTAGCCTGAGAAGTAGAAGAAAATCAGTAGTTAAGAGTTGTTATGAATGGCAATGAAAGGGATGGATTCAAAGGAGAAAAGATTAGGCACATTAAGTATACTGATTTTGGCAATGAGAAAACACTGGTGACTAGATTAGCTTCAGTGGCAGAAGCCAATTTACAGTAGAAACAACCAAGAAACTTAACCCAACAGAAAAGTTGGTCAAGGCTATTAACAGAGAATTCAGAGAAAAAGAAAGAAACAAAATTTGAATGGATAACAAATATGGGAATACAATAACCATAAGATGCCACATTCTAGCAGAATGACAAAAATTAAGTAGATCATTAATATCAAGAGTTGACAAGTGTATTAGATGACCTTTCTGGGGAGTCCTTTAACAGTATCTACTGAAATAAAAATACAATAAAAATTACTATTATTGGACCAAAGGTAATTGTGTGTGTGTGTGTGTGTGTGTGTGTGTGTGTGTGTGTGTGTGTGACAGAGTCTTGCTCTGTTGCCCAGGCTGGAGTGCAGTGATGCGAGGCTCACTGTAACCTCTGCTCCTGGGTTCAAGTGATTCTCATGCCTCAGCCACCTGAGTAGTTGGGATTACAGGTGTGTACCACCATGCCCAGCTAATTTTTGTATTTTTAGTAGAGATGGGGTTTCACCATGTTGGCCCGGCTCGCCTTGAACTCCTGGCCTCATGTGATCAATCTGCCTCAGCCTCCCAAAGTGCTAACATTATAGGCGTGAGCCACCATCCTAGCCCCCAAAGGATACTTCTAAGCCCATACAGAAATTCTTACTTGTAGAAGTTTTGACTACATACTATACAAAGTTTCTTACACTATTTCTAGAAGGAAAGGTTATAAAAAGCAAGCAATGTCAGCCTCCAATGAAAATAATAGCAAACTTCTAAGATACATTACTGGGATGTATATAGTATTTTCATTTAAGACAAGTCTATTCTCTTAGCTATTAGGCTGAAAAAAATGAACAATTTCACTTTAACAGTTTTATAAAATATAAACTTTATATACATAATACATATAATCAAGTCACTAAGAATAAAAAGTACCTGATGGTTGCTTTCAACAAGCAAACCTAAAATTAAAAAATGTAGGAAAACTCTTGTTCTATTTAGCAGTAAGTATTCATAGAACCATTTTCAAAAAAGATGTAAATCTTCTTTATTTTCTTTCTGATCTTTACTCTAGAAAACACAGAACTTAGGGTATATGACACATTTCTGCCAAAGCAACAGCAGTGATTACTTGTATTTTGTTTCCATGTACTATTTATATAAGTACACTTATAACTTAGATTTCAGTGTTCTTTAAATATTCAAATTTTATTTATCAAGAAAAAGAATAACTACTAAATGAGTAATTCACTAATGCCATATATATTTAATTTATGACCTCAAGGAAATTAAGATCCATTGAGAATTATCATTGGAAGTATCAACTGATAGCAGGTATGTAATTTTAGACAGGTGATTCACAAATATATATGCGGAATATAAATTTATCAGCTCTTATTCTTAAGATAGTAAGACTGAGTTCAAATAAGCAAATTTTATTACTAGCAAAATTAGTCTTAATGAATGAAACGAAAATATATACCTTTCTTGTGACATATAATTTTCAGAGCCACTGAATATGGATGGACAAATTGTACAAAACAAAACTCAACAGTGTGCCATTTACACTATGTGAATGGTGCCTCTCCATCACAGCTGTACAGTATATAACCTACACAACTTTATATGGCAGGCCTGATAACTTTGTGCTTATTTAAAAAATTCAAAATAAGCAGATATGACATAGGTATAGTAGACTGCATTATTTGATCAAATTCTCATGTCTTTTCTACAGAGCTAACTAGTACCAGTCCCCCGATCCCTGTCAGGGGACTATAATTCATGCCCCAGTGACATGAGGCCTGACCACATGACTTGCTTTAGCAAATAAAATATGATTGGAAGTTACTGTGTAACTTTTGAACAGAAGCTTCAAGAGCCACTGAATGATCCTGCCATCTCTCTCTTCCCTTTCCCATGAGATCAGTATGTCCCAGGTTGAGACTGTTCCTCCAGCCTACTCTCAGAATGACAAGATCACTGTTGCTGAGCCATGATATAGACGATCAGGAAATAAAGTCTTGTTATAAGTGACTGACATTTAGAAATTATTTGTTACTACAGCATAACACAGTATAAGCGAACTAAAACAACAGGCCATTTAAAAAATTTGAAGTCAAGTACTAAGATAAAATTTACACTTTAAATAAAGGTATTTATAAGCAAAGGTATTATGCGCTCACTGTAGAATATCTGGAAAAGATTAAAATCATCAACAATCTTACCACTCACAGACAACTGACTGGTACTATTTTCTCTCAGAATATTTTCTTATAATACACATTTTCTTCCAGTGTTTTTCCTATGGATATATATAACTGACATTGTGCTTCACATGACCTTTTATATTGTGCCTTTTATAATTATCATGAGTATTTTCCCATGACATTAAGTTTCAAAATAATTTTAATGATGAAAAAATAATTATATTGATGCAATGGAATTTAATCATTTTCCTGATGTTCAGTATTTAGAGTTTCCAATTTTAGAATGTTTATAAATAACAGGGGTGAACAATACACTTTTACATAATATCTTAACATCTATATAGATTTTTTGGGGTGGAGCTGTTTCCTTGATGGACATAGTTTTGAGATGCTTCTGACACCTTCAAGTGGATGTCAGTTAGCTCAGACAAAGAGTCTAAACAGGAACAGTTAAAAATTTCAAATGTGAATGAAAATTTATTATTTCTGTTCAAAATATCTAAAATTAGCAACAGAATGGATATTAACATTTTAAATTGCACTCTTTATTTTTTTAAGAGAGTCTTGCTATGTTGCCAAGGCTGGCCTTGAACTCCTGGGCTCAAGTTATCCTCCTGCCTCAGTCTCTCAAGTAGATGGGACTACAGGCACACCCCACGGCATTGGCTTTAAATTGCATACTTTAATTCTGCAAACATACTAAGTCAGAAAAAAGTAAATGCAGTGTGTGTATGCATTGTTGTAACAGATTATTTTAGAAGATTTTGACACATAGAAGAAAACTATCTTCAAATAAATCAGTAAATTGTTGAAGTCACATTACCAGGAGATTATAATCAATCAGTTCAACTTTTCCTGCTGTTAGTTTTCTTATGACTTAATGACTAATTTCTTCTTTAAAGAATGACTTTGAACAAATGGTAAGTAAAACCTTTTCCATAACAGCATGTAAACAAAGTCTGTGATTTAATAACAAGGTCAAATTCCTGGAATATATGTCTGCCAGTTTTATTTTTTTAAAAAAATTCAGTAGCTTTTAATACGTGAACTATTCAGGATTCTGCACATTCTTTACATTTATTAAATCCCATAAAGTAAATTCATATAGGCAACCCTGCCATCATACAAATAAGTTATATAAAAACATTTAATTTGCAAGTCAGTCATTTAGAACTTAGAATATTCCTTCATAGAAACAATAATGAAAAAAAGCAAGAAAATGAACAATGATATTTAAGAAGGTGTGCTGATTTTTAAGTCCTCACAAGTGAAATCCTTCACAATGCATTTAAATATTTAAGAGCTATTATGTTATTCTGAAACAATGATGAGGCATTATTTTAAATATAGATCTTGCTGTAATATGGGGATATATTAAGGAAGAAGAATGGAGAAATTGGAATAGGGAATTTTAATATGGGGAATATTTATAATTTAAGCTATCTAATAAAGATTTTAAGAAATTAGGATCGTCTATATTATTTCCTGGAATACTTCTCTGAACTCCAAAATAATGTGAAAATCTATTGTTTGTATGTTTAATTAATGTTTCTCATAATTACAATATTAGTTTTAGTCTACTAGTGATAATACCATTGCATTTGCAAGTATAGGATATAATTCATTAACTCATTTATCCAAATATTCAATAAAATTTGTCTACACAGTCATGTCCCAGGCAATGGATAACATGGTTAATATATACACCAAGCTCCTTAGGTCATTCTGATAACTTAGCCAGGTAAGGGAACCACTAGCATAAATCATGGTTACGAACCATAATATGTTTCAAAAGCATACATGTAAAAACCAAGTCTCTACTAACATGTAAGGTAGTTTTATGTTAGATATATAATCCTCATTTGTAAAATTATTTTAGGGAAAAAATCAAACTGGAATACGTTGAAATAAAAAACAGTATTTGTATTAGTAGAAAAATAAAATGATTGTGATCTCTTAAATCAACTAAAAAAAGAAAACTTAGAAAAGAATACTAAGCTGGTATTAAAAGTAAGATTAGAGGAAACTGAGGAAATAGAAAAATATTTGTGAAGATTTCTTACAGGGAACTTGTATGTACTTTTAAAAGCTCTAGAGGCAAAAAATTTGGTTTGTCCTCTGTACAGGCATTATTCCTATTCTTAGTCCCTGTGATAATGGTTACTTTTGGACTCATATGAAACCAAAAGAAGAAAGGAAGAGAGTTTCCTAAGCAATAAAAGAACAGCTTACATAAGCAAGAGACTGGGTAAAATGTAATTAACCGGACCAAGTGCAATGAGAGGTAGAAGGTGGGGAAAAACATTTGATGTACAAATCCTCAAAGTTGGGGAGAGAAAACCATTGTAAAAGAAAAAAGAATTTCATAGGCTGGTTATAAGGTGGTGTTGCTAAGTGACATAATTTCAAAATTATCTAGTTGGTGGAATGAAAACAATTATTATAGGTTATTTCGGATTATAAAATCTAGGTGAAAATTACTGAAAAGACAATCATATATCTAAAAGGCAGAAGAGGCCTTACAGGGTTTGTATTCTATGCTACGGTTAAATTCTTTCCATAAGCAAAAATCTCTAGAAGTAGGTATTATGTACAATAAAACTGTTATCTTATTTATTCTGGACCTTATATTTCTATTAATGCAGCCTAACAGTGCTAGCTTTCCATAACTAGTCATGTGACACTGTTAACCTAAACTAAATAATAAACTTAAAAACTCTTAATGATTCTTCATGTATATTAAGGCCCATCCTATAGAAATATAGTTAATCTTAGACTTTCCATTTATCCTTATTAAAGTTAACTCTATTAATTTTTGAGAGATTTGCTTCAACCTGCCAAAGCCTTTAAAATCTTAATGCTCTATGTCTCCATCTAGCCACCAGTCACATGTAGCTACCGAACCCTTGAAATCATACAGTGTATATTCTCTGACCACAACAGAATCAAACTGGAAATCGATAACAGAAAAATCTCCAAACATGTGGACATTAAACACCATACACCATGGGTTATTTAGATAATCCATGGGTCAAAGAGGGAGTCTCAAAGAAAATAAAAATATACATAGAAGTGAATGAAAATGATCACACAATGTATCACAATTTGTGGAATGCAACTAAAGCAGTGCTGAGAGGGAAATGTAAAAGACTAAATGTTTACATAAGAAAAAAAGTCTCAAAAATGATCTAGATTTCTGCCTCAAGAATCTAGAAAAAGAGCAAAATAAATTCAAAGTAAGCAGAAGGAATAGTAAGAATAACAGCAGAAATCAATGACACTAAAAGCAAAAACAATAGAGAAAAGTTACTGAAACAAAAGAGCAGGTTCTTTGAAAAAAAATGCATAAACCTCTAGCAAGACTAACAGAGATAAAAAGAGAAAAGACAGAAATCGCCAATATAAAGAATGAAATGGGGTATTATAACAGATCCCACAGCCATCCAAAGAGTAGCTGGAAATACTAGGGGCAACTTTTGGCTTGATAAATTAGAAAAAATGAACCAAGTCCTTGAAAAACCACACATTACCAAAACTCAGCCAAAGCAAAACAGATATAACTTGAATAATCCTATGACCATTAAATAAATCAAATTGTAATTTAAAAGCTTCCCCCACAAAATATCCAGGTCCAGATGGTTTCACTGGAGAAATCTACAGAATGTTTAAAGAAGAGTTAATGTCAATTCTACACAATCTCTTACAGAAAATAAAAGGAGGGGGAATACATCCCAATTCATTTTGTGAGGCCAGTATTGTCCTGATACCAAAACCAGACAAAATACAAAAAGGAAACTTACAGAGCAATATTTATCATGAACTTAGACACAAAATTCTTAGCAAAATACTGGCAAATCAAATCCAATAATGCATAAAAAGAATAATAACCCACAACCACATGGGATTAATCCAGGTATGCAAGGTTGGCTCAATAGTTAAAAATCTAACAAAGTAACCATATCAACAGGCTAAAGAAAAAAGTCATATGGTCGTATCAGTTGGGATAGAAAAAGCATTTGAAAAAATTCCACAACCATTCATGATAAAAACTTTTAGAAAAATGAATAGCGCATAACTTCCCCAATCTCATAATCTACAAAAAAACCTATAGCTAACATCACAGTTAATTAATAGTAAAAAAGTGCATGGTTTTCTCCTGAGATTGGGAAGAAGGCAAGAATGTCCACTATCTACCACTCTTATCCAACATAATACTGAAAGTCTTACCCACTGCCATGAGGGAAAAAAAAGGTATACAAATGTGAAAGGAAAAAATTAACCTCTTTTTGCAGACTACATGATTATCTACATAGAAAATCTCAAACAATCTACAAAAAGCCTCCTAGAACTAATAACTGAGTTCAGTAAGGTGGAAATGTACAGTCGAGACACAAAAATCAATTGCACATGGAAACAAATAAAAAGAGAAATACCATTGGCAATTGTGCCAAATAAAATGAAATACTTAGGTATAAATCTAATGAAATATGCATGAGATCTGTATGATGAAAATGACAAAATGCTGATGAAAGAAAACAAAGGTCAGAAATGGTGGGTCAGGTTTGTCATCCCAGTACTTAGGGAGCCGAGGTGGGAGGATCACTTGAACCTAGGAGTTTGAGACCAACTGTGGCAACAAAGTGGAGACTCTGTCTCTACAAAAAAGTTCAAAAATTAGCCAGGCATGGTGGTGCATGCCCATGGTCTCACCTACTCAGGAGGCTCAGGCGGGAGGATCACCTGAGCCCAGGAATTCGAGGTTGCAGTGAGCCCTCATTGTGCCATTGTTCTCCAACCTGGGTGACAGGGCGAGACCTGGTCTCAAAAAATATATTTTAAAAAAAGAAAACCTAAAACTTTTAGAGATATCTGTGTTTATGAATTAGTAGAATTAACATAGCTAAATGTCAATTATACCTAAATTAATCAATAGGATTCATGGAATTACTACCACAATCTCAGAAAGGTTTTTTGTAGACATAGAAAAGCTTTATCTAAAATGTATATGGAAAGAAAAAGGCTCTAGAAGAGCCAAGATGATTTTGAAAAAGAACAAAATGGGAGGAATCACTCTTCCTGATATTAAGGTTTACCATATAGTTAGAGTAATCAAGACGTGGTACTTTCAGAGGGATAGACACATAAAGAACCCAGAATAGAGAACCCAGATTATACCCACACAAATATGTGCAATTAATTTTTGACATATAATCAAAAGCAATTCAATGGGGGAGGAACAGCCTTTTCAATAAATAGTGCTGGGGCAATTATCTATCCCCAGGTGAAAAAAAAAATGAACCTCAGCCTAAACCTCATAACTTTACAAAAATGAACTCAAAATGTATCATGGACTTAAATGTAAAACTATAAAACTTCTGGGAAAAAAGCACAGGAGAAAATCTTTGAGACCTAATTTCTTAAACTGTTCTTTAACCTGATACTAAAAATATGCCAAAAGTACTGTTCTGTAAAGGGAAAATTTGGTAACTTAGACCTCATCAAAATAAAAGTTTCTGCTCTGTGAAAGACCCCATTAAGAGGATGAAAAGAAAAATTACAGAGTTGGGAAAAATATTTACAAATCACATATCCAACAAAAGATTTCAATGTAGATAACTCCCAAAACTCAACATTAAAAAACAATTAATCCAACATAAAATGGGCAAAAGATACTGTTAGAATTTCACCACAAAAAGTACACATATGGCAAATAAGATATAAAAGGCTGTTTGACATCATTAGCTATTAGTAAGTGCAAATAAAAACACAACAAGCTATTACTGTATACCCATCAGAAATGGCTAAAAAAAATCATGCTAACACCAAATGATTGTGAGGATGGAGAGCAAACTGGATCACTCATAAGCTTGCTAGAAACATAAAACAGTACTGCCATTCTGGAAAACAGTTGGGCAGTTTTAAAATATACTAAATATGCAACCACCGTACAACCTAACAATTGTCCTCTTTGGCATTTATCCCAGAGAAAGAAAATGTATTTTCTAACAGAATCTTGTAGATGAATGTTCATGGCAGTTTTATTTGGAATAGCTAAAAACTAAAATCTACTCAAATGTTCTTCAATGGATAAATGGTTAAACAAACTGTGGTATATACATACCATGGAATACTACTCAGCAATAAAAAGGAATTAACTATTGTACTGATACATGCAACAACTTTGATGAACCTCAAGAAAATTAGGATGATTGAAAAAAGTTAATCTCAAAAGGATATATACTGTATGATTCTATTTATATAATATTCATGAAATAACATCATTAAAAAGATGGAGAACAAATTATTGGTTGCTAGGGGTTGGGATGGGGAGAAGGTTAGATGTGGCTATAAAGGGGTATTATGAGACAGCCCTGTGTTAAGTACATTGAACACGGAAGTAGTTACATGAAGCTATAAATGTGATAAAATTATATATATATATATATATATATATATATATATATACACACACACACACACACACACACACAAATGAGTGCATAACTCACAAAATATGAGTAAGCCGTATGGGTCATACCAATGTAAATTTTCTGGTTTTGATATTGTCTTACAGTTATAAAAGATACCAATACTGGGCAAAACTAGGTACAGAATGCATGGGACTTCCCTGTGTATCTTTGAAATATCCCAATAATCTATATTTCAAAAAATTTTTAAAAATCATTTATTGCTCTATAATGTATTAATAAAATCAAATATTATTTTCAAAATAGATTTGGGATTATTAATAACCATTGCTTGACAAGTTCATAATATTGGAAATGAAGTTTACATATTGGTAACATAATTTCTCATACAGTAAGGCTGAAAATAGAACTGAGCTACATGAGACATGTTTTCTTATTGCCCTAAGTGAAAATATTACTACTTTGAATTTTCAATTTAACCTCTAAAATGATTTTTAAAGGTATACTATAAAAAGCATGGGATTGTTTGTAAGGTTCAATTTAGCAAGATGCAATGAAAAAATAAAACAAAAATATTTCTATGTGAGTTAACAAGAAGACATATTGTTTGCTTCTTGGTAAATGACTTTATAAAAATTGACTTTACAAAGTACATCTAATTTCAGAACACAGTATCTTCCAAAATCTATTACCCTGGGAAAATGATGGTATCAAGTAAAATGACTCAGACATTATGAAAATTAAACTAAAAAGAACAATTGGTTCTTAACACTATTAATAATATAAACAAATAAGTTAATTTTACCTGATTTCCAACTTTGTCTCTTCAGATAGCTCTCCAAATTGTATCTCTTCTACCTGTAGTTCTTTAAGAGCAGCCAGAATTTTCTGCTGGTCTTTACTGGTAATTCCATTCTAAGCAGAAATAATTTTAAGGTACAGTAAGTTAGTTATACTTGAGTAATTTAAAACTCAAAATTGCTAAAGATGTTTTCTTGATGAATTCACATCTTGAAAAAATAGGCATATATTGGAAAAATAACACACTTCTAAAAAATATGTTTTTCTTATAACTGTGATTGATGTTAGTTACAGCATTAGAATATTGAGATATATAATAACTATAGTCAATTTTTTTGCAATACATAACAACTATGATGGACTCCCAAAACAAATTACTAGAACTTAATATGTAATATTTCAAAAAAACACAGTAAAACAAAATTTCCTTCAAATTTTTATTTAAAATATTATCAGTGATAAATGAGAATTAGGCCCTATCTTTGTTTGTATTCTACCTTTAGTGTTAAACTAAATTTTCTATACTGGATTTAGTTTTGTAGTATGCTTACTGATTTTTAGTGATATTAAAAATGTCAAGTTTCCAATGTGGTCATGCAGTCAGATCATTGCTTTTTACATATGCTATTTATCAAAGTGTCTCTAATACATCCCGCAGCTATATGTTATTAGATAATACTAGATGGCAAAATAAAAGGTCTCAGTTTTGAGAACCAAACAAAAGGCTTGGGAGACGTGTTAATACCCATATACATAAAAAAACTATCTCTTATTTGTAAGTGCCCCATTTTACAAATCTATTGCACATTTGAAACTGAAGGATCAGTTCTAGCTGTCATGACAATCTGAAAAAAACAAAAACAAAACCCAAACTATAAGTCATTACATGTTCTTAAAGTAACTTAATACTAACACAAGATTTTAGATACGGTTATCCATAATCATATCTAATCAAGGACACAGTAGAAGATCAATCTTTTGTCTATAGCCCTGGCATTTTAAAAAGAGAGAAGAAAAGGATCCACAATTTTAAAAACATCAAACAATGTATCGGGAATTTTTGAAATTGATACTAACCTTTGTAAATTCATCTTCCCTCATGGTCAAAAGATGTCTTAACGTTATATCCCTTTCCTGTATAAAAGGAAAAAAAGGCCACCTTTCCATATAATTAAAATAGTAGAAGGAGAAGTAGGCAAATGTTCATAAGTTAGTTACTTGCTTCACTCTGAAGCAAATTCCAATTTTCTAGAGGGGACAGGATATATACATGCAGAACTATGCTACTGAGTAGACAGTAATGAGTATCATAATAATTATATTCACCTAAAAAGTATAAATATAGCTAGTTTTCCAGATTCAAATGATTACCATTCATATTTGCTTACATTAAAAGAAAAGCAGTTCTATAAAATTTGGCAGAAATTATGTTTTATGAATATTTTAAATTTCTGACTGTATCACATTAAACCAACATGTAGTTTTACTCAAGATTTCTCCAAATAGGGAGACATTTCAAGATTATACAATGAAGCACAACTCTGAAATATTTTAACAGAATGTGCACACTCCCAAGAAGAGTCTATCTTAAATAGTGCTTTACTGCTTCAGTATCTCCACCTAGCTGGTAACAACTGTCATGGACTCAAACCCCATAATGTATGCTTAAAACACCCACACAGTGCTTGGCATATGATCTGATTTAACCTTCATGACAACCCAACACTAGGTATTATTATCCTTATGAAGAAAATGAGATATTTAAGTCACATATTTCAGTGATTAAACATTAGAGCAAGAATCTGATACCAGGTGTTTGGTTTAAAATCACGCTCTTCCAATATTCTACTCAAGAAGATGAGCAACTACAGAAACAAACTAAGGGCTCAGGTGTATATGAAGGTTAGGCAGTGGGTAAAAACTGTTTAATCTCAGATTCTAATTTATGTAAATTTCTAGAATAATACATTTTTGCAATGTTTTTCACAAATTTAAAATTGGGATGTACTACAAATTATGGTGAAAAGTAAATTGGCAGTTATTCATAGACATGTTTATGAATTAATATCTAACATTATATTAACCAACAAATTAACATATATGCATAACTCACTGTAGGTTATATAAGATCTTACCTTTAGTAAATCTGTCATATGTTCAAGTCCAAGACCATGTAAAAATACTTCCAGATCTCCAAATGCTGTATATGAACTGTATACATTTATAGCAATGTCAATTTCAGAACAGATTATAAATGCACAAGCGATAAATATACATTTATATTGCAAGAGAATATGAATAATAATGAATTCATGTAGAATATATTTGCAATCTGCACACCAGACCTATGCTATATCAAAGGAATAAGTAAGGTTTTGTGACTGAAGATATATGAGGAGTATAACTCATCTTTCCCCAAATGAAAATATATGCCAGTATGTACTCCTTGTGAAATTTCTGCACATAAAAATCTCCTCAGCCTGGTACAGTAGCATACACCTGCAGTCCCAGCTACTTGGGAGGCTGTGGCGGGAGAACTGCTTGAGCACAGGTGTTTGAGGCAAAAAAACCCACAAAAAACAAAAAATGAAAAAAAACCACACCTCTTTAATTGCAATAAGTAAAATTTAAGTAACTTTAAATGGGGTAAGGAGAGAATTATTTTTGGCCATGTACTCAACAGTGGTGTTCTGGGGGGAAAAGTATATGTTTAATTTTAGCTTATAAAATTAGAACTGTACTAAAAATAATTAGAAAACAAGGTGTTATACTGTTTGAACACTAATATAATTTCAGAACCTTTTAAAAATAGATTTTATTGTTGATATCTTACTTAAAGTTTACATTTAAAGTTATTATCATTAGTGTTAGTACATAAAAATGAATAAAAATTTTCTAAAATTCTGGAGAACACTAAAAACCCAGACATTTAAAAATGCTTGTAAACATTTAAAATATCATATATTTTAAATAAGTCACCACATTTACTACAATAAAATATACACAAATTTTACTTATAGGTATTCTGTTGAACTAAAACATGCTATATTACCTAAAAATGTGATCTTTTTCTCTATCAGAATCTGTTGTCAATATTTTACAAATAGTGTCTTCTTTAGTTAGCTGTTGAAGTTTTCCTTCCAATGGATTTAAAGTAAAAGAAAGTAAGTTGAAGATCTGAAAAAAGTTAACATCATTCAAATATAATTAACATTGCATACTGTAACTTACACTTAAAAGAAACTGAACATACGATTATCTCATATCCAGAAAGGAAATTTTAGCAAGTAAGTGGGACAGATGTTTCACAATTTACTACCCTGATAACAACTTTTAAAAAAATGATATATCACAGTTGTATATATTTTGGGGGGTACATGCGATATTTTGATACACATATACAATGTATAATAAACAAATCAGGGTAATTGGGATATCTAAGTGCTTCCTTAACCTACAATAATCAGAAAAGAAAAAAGTACATCTAATTCAAAATAGTAAAAATTAAAGGAAGATAGTAATTAATATTTTTGGTAAGATACATAGCGAAACTAAAAATTCCATTTGGATAAATGACTCAGATTAAATATTAAGATAGTACTTTAAAAACATTGCTAAGTGGCAAGAGAGTAATGAGCATGACTAAATGTATACAAATCCTAACTGAACACCTCAAAAAGATATGGTGAAATTCCTGAGTTTTAAAATCTAACCTCTCAGGAAGTCAAGGTTATATCACATACTCAGCCAAAATACAAGATCAAATCTCATTTCAATAAATGATTTATGACTCAAAATAACCTTTGATGTTCATAAACTTCTTATGTCAAGTTTGGTGTCATCTACTCTACATTTAACAATGTAATAAAATAATTTTAAGTTTTTGAATTTTCAAAGTTTGGAAGAAAAATGGTAAATTCCTTTTTGAAATTCTACAGGGCTGTAGTGATTACTGTTTATCCTATAAAAATTCTGAAAATATTAGAATAATATTTGGAAAATGATAGCCATGTTTATCAGATTGCTTAAAAGGTTAGAGGAAGTTACTTTATATGCAGTAAAAGTGGCTTGGTTTGATGATTACATGACGGAATCTTTGGAATTTTACGTGCTTTCAAATTCGGGAACTCAGTGTTACAAACTCTTGAACTAAACAACTTAGTTTTATAATTGTACTATACTTGATCCTTGCTTAGAAGTTACAGACTTGTGGCTAAAGCTTTAATCTTCAGACCAAAAGTTTATATTGATAAAGTAATTTAATGTATGGCAAGTATTTATTATTGAGTTTAACATCTGAATGACAGATTATACATCCAGGTATATTATCACTTTATCGTAAGCCCTGTCACACATATAAGAGCAAATGTTGTTTAAGGAATTTAATTTTTAAATTGTTTAATACATTAATTAAACTTACAAAAGAATGTTTGAGTTACATGTTCAAACTGGCATTTTACTAGCTTTCACTAAATTACTTTTAAAATTCTGGACCAGTTTAAAATGTTTAAATAGTATATTACAATTTTATTCCTGGGGCCAGAATAAGATTTTATTACTCTTTTATAGAGCTTTTAAATTACTATAAGTGCTTCTTGTTTCATAGAAGATGAATACTCTAGCAAAATAAAGTTCTCATTACCTGGCTGGAGGAAAGATACATATTTAAACATTTAATAATTGCCAGATACACTATAATTACACTTTTAATTCTAACAGAATAATACAAAAGTTCTACAAATGATAATGTGATATGCCACAGAAAATAAGTTTAATATGTACAGAAGGATACCTCATGATGTTTGTTTCTTTTTGCAATCTCACTTGGCATCTTTCCATCTTTGGTTTGTAGCATTTTATTAGCTCCAAGTTCAAGCAACTTCAAAACTATATTTTTATGACCCTGACGTGCTGCCCACGTTAAAGCCTGTAAGTAGGGGGAAAAGAAGATTGTTTAAAGAGAAGGAGTGTATATGAGACAGACAGGAAAAGTTTTCAACAGTATTTATGACACAATAAAAAAGAGAACATAGTTAATTAATGGAATGATGCAATCTCTTCATTTTACAATATAATGTAAACATATTTCCAAAGTTGTAATTGCAAAGCTGACTGCAAAGCTCATTGATTTTTTAAAACCAGTGTTTTATACAATTAACTGATGTTAAGGAATAAAATGATTTATTTGCCAATCACTGAAGGGTTTTCTACAAAAAATAATTCTTATGTATATTTTAGAGCCCAGATTTTGCTGTGTGTTACAATTTTTTTTTTTAATCAAGAGTAAGGACTACGAGAGTCAGTTAATTCCTCATTTCTATTTCTTTTCTTTTCTTTTTTTTTGAGATGGAGTTTCGCTCTTGTTGCCCAGGCTGAAGTGCAGTGGTGCGATCTTGGCTCACTACAACCTCTGCCTCTTGGGTTCAAGCGATTCTCCTGCCTCAGCCTCCTGAGTAGCTGGGATTAAAGGCACGTGCCACCATGCCTGGCTAATTTTTTGTATTTTTAGTAGAGACAGGGTTTCACCATGTTGGCCAGGCTGGTCTCAAATTCCTAACCTCAAATGATCCGCCTGCCTCGGCCTCCCAAAGTGCAGGGATTACAGGTGTGAGTCACCATACCCTTCTATTTCAACTGTTGCTTTTTTTCACCAGATAGCAATTATATTCCAGCCCTTTTGTAATTATTACTTCTTAAAATTCTTTTTTTGTAGATTACTGATAATAACAGAAACAAAAAGAAACATTGTAAAAATGTTTCTCACAGTGTAACCATTCTCATCCTGGGTATTAACTTCTGCTCCATGAGCAACAAGGAGAGCAACAACCTGGGTGTGACCATCTCGAGCAGCATACATGATTGGGGTCATAAGTCTCCTAAGGAGGAGGAAGAAAGGAAACATTTGTGTTAATGCTGCCATTAATCTCTCATTTTCATTAATTTAACCATACACAATACCACCAGTACTGCTTTGAAAACGAAAAGAAATGAAAGCTTTTGCTAAATCAGGTGATTTAAAAATCCAACCTTCCTGCAAGTAAGTACAAGTGAAAGAGATGACACTTTTAAAGTGCTGAATGCTTACACAGCACCCTCTAGTGAATAAATGTATTAAAAATACATGAAATAAGCCACGCTTTCTACTATGAAGTTCACTAATATACATATTCATCTAGAAAATTATCAGTGTACCCACACTATGCTTATGCTAGGAATATAGTAATGAATGACACAAATAAGGTCCCTGCCCTCAAAGGATTTGCTAATACTAAATGCTTATTACATTTTATTTAGAGGATTGCTGAAACAAAAATGTAAATTTAAAAACTTCATTCCTTAATGTATTCTATTATGATTCTACTTTAGTCTGAGACTGAAAGAATTTTATTCTGACTGGGAGACTTACTATATATAATTAGAAAAGAGATAAGTCCAATAGATTAACCAGCTTAATATTCTCTTAAGAGTACTTTCTGGGAGAGGATAGTGGTTTCTCTGTAGTTTATCATTTCCCAAAATTAGAGATTCAATCCTTCTACTCCTGGAAGTTAGTCACCTTCTGGGCCTATTCCAAGGACACCAGATTTTATCAGCTCTACTTGGGCTGAACATAACATCATGGTCTGTTTTAAAGGAGGTCTGAGACTCTGAGCCCAATTTTCCTGAGTCGTCCTCAAGATCTGATTTATACACAAAGAACTTTGGAAAAGAAAAATAAATAATTTCAGAGTTCCATGTTTTGATCTTACCAAGAAAGTTTTTATTGGTTATTCACATTACATATACAACCTACCAATAGACTATTTCTCTGTAAGGTTTGTTAGCATAAGGTTATACCCTGAAATCTGAACACTTCACACCTATGTCCTTGTTAGCACAATTCATATATATCTGTTTCTTATATTTCATGGTATATTATAATTTGAATGTTTTATGTGAAATTATATGCTAAATCAGTTGTAAAAGATTGCCTCCTCTACCTTGAATATCCCTTACATAGTGGCTTCATTAGATAGACAATCTTTATGAGGTAAAGATTGAATTTCCTGGATAACTTAAGCAAACATAAAAAAATATATACAACTAGCCAGGTGTGGTGGCTCAGGCCTGTAATCTTACCACTTGGGGGGCTAAGGCAGGTGGATTGCTTGAATCCAGGAGTTCGAGACCAGCCTGGGCAACAGAGGAAAGCCCTGCCTCTACCTCTACTTAAAAAAAAAAAAAAAAAAAAATTAGCTGGATGTGGTCTGCACAACTGTAATCCCAGCTACTTCAGAGGTGGGAGAATCACCTGAGCCTGGGAGATCAAGGCTTCAGTGAGCCGAGATTGTGCCACTGCACTCCAGCCTAGGCAACCAGAGTGAGACCCTGTCTCAACAACAACAACAACAACAACAACAACAACAACAACAACGCCACCCAAAACCCCCACATACACACATACGTGGCAACAACAAATTATTTGAATTAACCATTCGAATTCAAATTCTTCATTACATCTAAATCCGAACTGTTGATGTCTCATCTCCACTGCACTTACCTGCATAATAACCCAAATCTGCTCCTCTCAGTCTTCCCTATTTCATAAAGCCACCATTAACCACATTACTCAGGCTTAAGACTAGGCATAATTCATGACTCTTCTCTGTCATTCCAAGTACAAGTCACCGGCAGCTCCTATTAGCCCTGCCTTCATAATCTGCTTCTGATCACTTTTCATCACCTCATTAGCCACTGCAGTGGTCCAAGACAACATCATCTTTCTCTGATTTATATTGCCATAGTCTCATAACTGCTCTCCTCCATGCTTCCATTCTTGGCCACTTACAGTTTATTGTCTTTGAAAATGCCAAGATCTCCCCTTTGCAGGAACTGTGCAAGTGCTCTTGCCTGTCCCCAGACCTTCATATTGCTAACTCCTTATTCTTATACAGATCCTTATTAAGAGAAGATCAGTAAAATTTTCAAACCTCTAGCTAGACTGATTAAGCAAAACAGAGAGAAGAAACAAGTTACCAGTATCAAGAACAAGAGAAGTAACATCAGTACAGATTATCCAGATTTTAGAAGTATGAGGAAGTATTATGAACAAATTTATGCCAATAAATTAGACAGTTTAGATGAAATGGATAAATTTCTCAAAATACACAAGCTACCACAGCTCACTCAAAAAGAAATAACCTGAATAGCCCTAGACTTATTTTTTAAAAACTTAATTAGTAATTATAAATTAAATTAAATTTTCCACAAAGAAAACAGCAGGCCAGATGGCTCCACTGGTGAATTCTACAAAACAGTTAATGAAAACAACATCAATTCTAAACAAACTCAACCAGTAAACTAAAGAGGGGAAGATGCTTCCCAACTCATTCTATGAAGCAAAATTACTCTTATACCAAAACCAGAGGGTGCCATTATAAGGAAAGAAAACTATAAACCAATAATCTTCACTGAAAATAAAAATGTTTTAAACAAATTTTAACAGAATCCAAAAATACATAAAAAGGTTAATACATCATGACTACAGGCAATTATCCTAGGAATGCAAGGCTGGTTTGATATTTGAAACATCAATCAATATAATGTACCATATTAACAAACTAAAAATGAAAAAAAACCCTCAACAAATGCAGAACAAGTATTTTACAAAATCCAACATTTATTTCTAACAAAAACACTCAGCAACATAGGAATAGATGAGAACTTCCTCAACCTGACAAAAGCATCTATGGAAAATTTACAGTTAACATCATATTTAATGGTGAAAGAGTACTTTCCCCCAACATCAGAAACAAGACAAGGATGTATGCTCTCACATTTCTACCCAACATTGTATTGGAAGTTCTAGCCAGCGGAACAAGACAAGGAAAAAGAAAAATGGTAGGCCTCCAGATGGGAAAAAAAGCAAAATTGTCTTTATTCACAGACAGCATGATGTATATAGAAAACCTGATGGACTCCACAAAAAAAGTACTAGAACTAATGAATTTGGCAAGGTTACAGCATTCAAGAGAAATATTTAAAAAATCAATTGTATTTCTTCATGCTAGCAATGAACAACATGAAATGAAAATAAAACAATACAACTTAAGTAAAAATATAAAAGCCAGGAAATCTATTGCTGTTTATTAGAAATGCACCTAGTATTTGCATATATGCATATATAAATACAGGGTGATGGTGATGTATTTGAATATATCTGACTTACAGTTGTCTAAGTAACAATTTGGATCCAGAAGTCTTTTTTTTTTTTAAGATTCAGGAGGTACACGTTAAGGTTGGTTAATGGGTATATTGTGTGTTGCTGAGGATGAGGTTTGGTCTTCTATTAATCCCACCACCCAAGTAGTGAATATAGTACCTAATAGGTAGTTTTTCAACCCTTGACCCCTCCTTGCCTCCTCCCCTTTGGATTCTCTAGTGTCTATTTTTAACTGAGCATCCCAGCCTCAAAATGCATTTTAAAACTTTTTTTCCTTTCTTGTTTTCAGCTTTGAAACATATTTTGAAATGCTTTGTTTCTACTTTTCCCACCAGGCACTTCAATGAACAGTGCTTGCTTATCTAATTATGTGCTTGCTTAGGTAATCCAGGGGCCAATTTTGAAACAAACCAGGCAGAGAGATACAGCTCCCACTTAGGGGTAGTTATGAACAGTTAACCTACCACTACCAGGCCAAAGTCAGGATGAGGCAAACCAGACCTTCTGGACAGGCAATTTCTCAAGATAACCATTGAAACAAGTCATGCAGACCTGCACCCTCGGGCAACACTCCTGCATATTTCCCACACCTTTTCCTTCTTAAACCCCTTCATTTAGCCCAAAAAGTTGGAATGGTCTTTTGAAGGCATGAGCCTGGCCATTCTCCAATTGCTAGCATTTGATAAATAAAATTACTTTCCTTTCACCACATCTCGTTTCTCCTATTCTTGGTTTATGGGCAGCCAGCAGCTGGACTTGAGCAAGTTACCTATTGTTTTCATCTTTATATGCATGTGTACCCAATGGGTAGCTCTGACGGATAAGTGAGAACATGTGGCATTTGGTTTCCTTTTTTCTTTTTTCTATTTCTACATTAATTCATTTAGGATAATGGCCTCCAGCTGCATGCGTGCTGCTGCAAAGGACATGGTTTCTTTTTTATGGCTGTATAGTATTCCATGACCTATATGTGGCATATTTTCTTTATCCACTCTTGAGTTGATGGGCACATAGGTTGGTTCTATATCTTTGTAACAGTGGGGGTTTTTTTTTTGAGACAGGGTTGTACTGTCACACAGGCTGTAGTGCAGTGGTACAATCATGGCTCACCGCAGCCTCAACCTCCCAAGCCCAAGCAATTCTTCCACCTTAGCCTCCCAGGTAGCTGAGACCACAGGCATGTGTCACCACACCTGACTAAATTTTTTATTTTTGTAGAGATGGAGTCTCTGTATGTTGTCCAGGCTGGTCTCAAACTCTTGGCCTCTAGCGAGCCTCCCAGCTAGGCCTCCCAAAGGGCTGGGATTATGGGCATGAGCCACCATGCCCAGCTGCTATTGTGAATGGTGCTGTGATAAACATAATGAGTGCAGTGTCTTTTTGGTAGAATGGTTTATTTTCCTTTGGGTATATACTCAGTAATGGGATGGCTGGGTCAAATGGTAATTCTAGTTTTAGTTCTTTGAGAAATCTCCAAACTGTTTTCCACAGTGGTTTAACTAATTTACCTTCTGCCAGCAGTGTACGTTTCCCTTATCTCTGCAGCTTCACCAACATGTTATTTTTTGACTTTTAATTATTTTTTTGAGAAGAAGCCTCACTCTGTCACCTAGGCTGGAGTGCAGTGGCACAATCTTGGCTCACTGCAACCTCTGCCTCCTGGGTTCAAGCGATTCTCCTGCCTCAGCCTCCTGAATAGCTGGGATTACAGGCGCCTGCCACTGCACCTGGCTAATTTTTGTATTTTTAGTAGACACTGGGTTTCACCATCATGGCCAGGCTGGTCTTGACCTCCTGACTTTGGAATCCACCTTCCTTGGCCTCCCAAAATGCTGGGATTACAGGTGTGAGCCACTGTGCCCGGCCTGACTTTTTAATAATAGCCATTCTGAAGGGTGTGAGATGGTACCTCATTGTGGTTTTGATTTGCATCTCTGATGAGTAGTGATGTTGAGTACTTTTTCATGTTTCTTGACTGCTTGTATGTCTTTTTTTTTTTTGAGAAGTGACTGTTTATGTCCTTTGCCTACTTTTTAATGAGGTTATTTTTCTTATCGATTTAAGTTCCTTATAGAGCCTGGATATTTAGTCCTTTGTTGGATGCATAGTTTGCAAATATTTTCTCCCATTCTGCTGATAGTTTCTTTTGCTGTGAAGAAGCTCTTTAGTTTAATTAGGCTCCACTTGTCAAATTTTGTTTTTGTTGCATTTGCTTTTGAGAACTTAGTCATAAATTCTTTGCATAGGGTAAGGTCCAGAAGAGCATTTCCTAGTTTTTCTTCTAGGATTTTTGTAGTTTGAAATCTTGCATTTAAGTCTTTAATCCATCTTGAATTGATTTCTGCATATGGTAAGAGGTAGGGATCCAGTTTCATTCTTCTGCATGTGGGTATCCGGTTTTCCCAGTGCCATTTACTGAATAGGGTATCCTTTCCCCACTGTTTATTTTTGTTGACTTTGTTGAAGATTAGTTGGTTGTTGGTGTGGGTTCTCTATTCTGTTCCATTGGGCTACATGTCTATGTCTGTACCTGTACAATACTGTTTTGATTACTGCAGCCTTTTAGTATAGCTTGAAGTTAAGTAATGTGATGCCTCAAGCTTTGTTCTTTTTGCTTAGAATTGCTTTGGCTGTTCAGGTTCTTTTTTGGTTTCATATTTTTTTTTCTTATTTTTTGAGACAGAGTCTCACTCTGTTGCCAGGCTGGAGTGCAGTGGCATGATCTCGGGTCAATGCAATGTCTGCCTCTGGGTTGAAGTGATTCTCCTGCCTCAGCCTCCCGAGTAGCTGGGAGTACAGGCGTGCACCACCAGGCCCAGCAAAGTTTTGTATTTTTAGTAGAGACTGAGTTTCACCATGTTGGTCAGGCTGGTCTTGAACTGCTGCCGTCAGGTGATCTGTCTGCCCTCTGCCTCCCAAAGTGCTGGGGTTACAGGTGTGAGCCACTGTGCCCGGCCTCATATGACTTTTAGAATAGTTTTTCCTAATTCTGTGAAAAATGACATTGGTCATTTGATAGGAATCACATTGAATCTGTAGATTGCTTTGGGCAGTACAGATATTTTAATGATACTGCAGTCTTCCATCCAATCTGTGATCACGGAATTCTTTTTCATTTGTTTGTCATTTATAATTTCTTTCAGCAATGCTTTTCAGTTCTCCTGTAGAGATCTTTTACCTTCTTGGTTAGATGTATTCTAAAAAAGGAATGGAAAATCCTTTTTTTCAGCAGTGTTTTTCAGTTCTCCTGTAGAGATCTTTTACCTTCTTGGTTAGATGTATTCCTAGGTATTTTAATTATTTCATTTTTTGCAGTTCTTGTAAATGGAACTGCACTCTTGATTTGGTTCTCAGCTTGAACATTATAGGTATATAGAAATGCTTCTGATTTTTGTGCATTGATTTAGTATCCTGAGACTTTACTAAAGTTATTTAACAGGGGTCTATGGAGTCTTCTGGGGGAAATCTTTAGGGTTTTCCAGGT
Source organism: Homo sapiens (assembly GCF_000001405.40). Classification (NCBI taxonomy): domain Eukaryota; kingdom Metazoa; phylum Chordata; class Mammalia; order Primates; family Hominidae; genus Homo; species Homo sapiens. The sequence continues at coordinate 117,392,620 of NC_000007.14, forward strand.
ATAGAATAATACAATAAGCAAAGGCATTTTTAAACATTAATAATATCATACTGTTCATACAATGTTTTAATTTGCCGATAAATGAATTTAAAATTATTTTTCCTCTGAGGAAATTTCCTCTGTGCTTTCTCTGAATCACACAAGTGCTGATATAAAGGCCTTGTGTTGTCACTTTTACCAGTTCTATTTTAATTAATCCAGAAATTACCAGAAATTATTAAGATATATCTTTTTTTTTTTTTTTTGAGATGGAGTCTCACTCTGTTGCCCAGGCTGGAGTGCAGTGGCACAATCTCTGCTTACTGCAACCTTTGCCTCCCAGGTTCAAGCAATTCTCCTGCCTCAGCTTCCTGAGTAGCTGGAACTACAGGCGCATGCCACCATGCCTGGCTAATTTTTGGTATTTTTAGTAGAGACGGATTTCACCACGTTGGCCAGGCTGGTCTCAAACTCCTGACCTCAGGTGATCCGCCCAGCTCAGTCTCCCAAAGTGCTGGGATTACAAGCATAAGCCACTGAGCCTAGCTGGGTAGCATAAAAAAAAAAAATTCTTAAAAGACTTTCTTTGTGGTCTACAACATAACTTCTGTTGAAAATAATCCATGCATGTAAATTATGTTAAAGTCAGAATTCTAGGTAAATATCAATTAGATACTCTTGTTGATTGTGTTATTCTATATCTTTATTTTTTGTCTAATCTGTTTTTCTAAGAGATATACTAAAGTCTTCAAATATGATTATAGATTTTTTATTCCTTTTTTTAGTTCTACTAGTTTTTGTTCTATGTATTTAAAAGCCATGTATATTAAAACTATCTTGTTAAATTGTTGCTTCTATCAATATCATTTTCTCTTTGGTCCCTTAAGTAATGTTTGCCTGGCATTTTATTTACTACCCTAGGGGTATTTTTTTATCTTGATATTTACCAGGTATAAATATTTGCTGAATAAATGGCATTTAAAAAATCATTTTATTTATTTTCCACTCTAATGTAATGTTTTATTTTTAGGTGTGACTTCACTAGATTTTGCTTTTAGCCAATATGAGAGTTACTATTACTTTAATAAGTGAGTTTTACCGATTATATTACTTTTCTTAGTTATTAATATGGCTGGACTTATTTCTGACATTTTTGCACTTTCTGTTTATCATGCGTCCATAATAAATACATGTTTCCATGTCTCCTTGGACATAGAATCACCTTGTTAGATTGATCAAGTTCTCTTAGTTTCACTCCCACCCACTCCATCTGAAAGCTTTTAATTTCATTATTTTCTTCAAGTACAGTACTTAAGTCCTCTTCTCTTCAACATGCTTATCCTTACTATTCAACAAAGAGAAAAGTTAATAAATAACTATACATAGTTTCATGAGAAAAGAGATGTTTACTTTTATGTTGCTTCATTCTCTCCTCAGCTACTAGAACACCAAACTTATTATATGATGGAAATTTAATACAAATTTATCATAAATACTCTCCCCCACCCTGGCCCCCCTTTTTAGGAGACAGGGTCTTGCTCTGTCACTCGGGCTAGAGTGCAATGGCATCATCATAGCTCACTGCAGCCTTGACCTCCTGGGCTCAAGCCATCCTTCCACCTCAGCCTCCCGAGTAGCTAGGACTACAGGTATGCACCACCATGCCTGGCTAATTTTTAAAATTTCTGTTGCCTAGGTTGGTCTCAAACTCTTGCGCTCAAGCAGTCCTCCTACCTTGGCCTCCCAAAGTACTGAGATTACAGTGGTGAGCCAAGCCTGGCCAAGATGGTCATTTCTTGACAGGAATTTTCTTGATATGTAAATAATCTCTTCTGTAGTTAACTTTTAGGATTTTTGCCTTCATTCTTAATGTTCTGAAGTTTATTGTGATGTGTCTACATATTTTAATTAAAAATGTATATATATTTATCTATTTGTATATAAATCTTTATTCAGTGATTCTTTCAATCCTACCAATTTGTCTTCAGTTGGGAAACATTCTTGGTCTTTATTGCTTCAAACATAGTCTATCTTCCATGTTCTCCTTTGGAATTATTATTTGACAGATGTTAGGACTTCTGGAAAGGTTCTCCATGTCTCTACCTTTCCTTTATACTTTCCATTTCTTTAGCCCTTTGTGTTGTATTCTTGGAGATTTCCTCACCTCTATCTTCTAGTCCACTACTCAGCTCTTCAGATGAGTCCCATCTACTCTTCTACCTCTTCTACACAAATACTTAGTTTTAATATTCAATAGTTCCTTTTTTCATAATTCACTGTGCTTGTTTTTTCATTTCTATTGTTATTTTGTGAAGGCAAATCCCTCTTTTATTGTTCAGGAATAAAGGCCTTTTTAGATTCCTCTATTTTTCCCACTTTCTCTAGTTTAAGTCACTCTTTTGTTGAATTTGTTGTCCCTGTTTCATGACACCTACATTCTTCAGATTTTGGTGATTTTTGGTTGTGCACCTACCTTCTGGTCTATGGCAAAGGCCTCCAAACACAGAAGACAAGATAACCTTGTCTATCAGTAATGCAGATTTTAGGTATTGCTAGAGTTTCCCATCTGTTTCTTTCTTTGGCGAGCGACTCTTTTTCCATTCCAGAGATAACTTTTTTCTTTCAAAAATAACTTTATCAAAATATTTTAATAGCTTTGTATCTAAAGCTTTCTGTGGAAGGGCAAGACTTTAGCATATTCTCAGTTTAAGAGCTTGAATTCATAAGCCTATTTTTCCAAAAATTCTTTTTTTGGTCATGTTTTTCTTCCAGAATTTTTAGAATCATTTCATCAAGTCAAAACAATCTGTTTGGCACTCTGAATACGATGTTTAATTCTATATATTTAGATTTTTAAAAATGTCTTTTTAAATACTGATTCATCCTAGTCAAGATGACAACCAACATCCAGCCAACATGACGTGTATATTCAATCTTCTTTTATTTTACTTGGTGTAGTTTTACATTTTTCTTCATTTAGACCTTTCACATTTTTAAATCAAATTGTAATCTCAAGCTTTTCGTTTCTTGTGAGTTGGAAACCAAATGAAGTTTGCACATTAGTTTTGTAAAAACTACTACACTGTATGATTGTTATTTCTGAGTTGACTATTTTCGGTTTACCAAGTATATATTAATATAATTTAAAAATTATGATTTTGTTCTCCTTTTCCTAATAAAAAAGATGTAATAGTTTAATTAGAGGCATAGTTCAATGGTTTACATCAGCAGTCAGCAAATTTTTTCTGTAAAGGGCAAGACAGTAAATATTTTGGGCTTTGTGATGCATGCAGGGATTTGTTACAACCACTCAACTCTGCTGTTGTATCATGAACATAGCCATAGACAATACATAAACAAATGAGCACAGCTGTGTTCCAGTGAAACTTAAGAAGTCTGCCAACCTCTGATTTAGAATGTTAAGCTGTGGAGTCAGAATGCCTAGGTCAAATCTAGCTTTCAACATTTACTGGCTTAGACAAGTTTCTTAAACTCTCACTGCCTCAGTTTCTACAACTTTATATGAGCATAAAATAGTTTCTATATTTGTGACACCTATTTGTGTTAGTATCACAATCTGTGATGAGATAATAATATTCAGTAACAAAGAACAGTACCATGCACAAAGTAAATTCTCAGTCATTAATAGGTATTTTTATTATTAACTACATCTTGTATTTTTCTTGCATAACTGAATTGCCTTACAGTTCCCAAAACAATGGTAAAACTAAAAGTGCTTACAACAAGCATCCTTTCCTTGTTGCTGACATTAATGCAAATGCTGCTAGCTTCTCCATTAAACGTGTAATTTGTTTTGTCTTCAGATATATGTTTTCGAAATTAAGGAGCTACTCATCTAATCATATTTTACTAAGGTTATAAAAATCAGAGATTTTAACTTTTATAAAATATCTTTCTGGCATCTATTATAATGATAACCACCTCAAAAATCCTCTGACCTATTTATGTAATTGTTTCCCTAATATTGAACCATTTTTGTATAGATGACATGAATCAATCTGATCACAGTATATTATTCATTTACTTTGCTGATAACATTAAATTTGCTAATACTTCAAGTGGTTAAGATTTGTGTATCCATGTTCATAACTAAGATTGATTTGTAAGACTTCTTTAAGTGGATCTTTGTTAAATTGGATTTCAGAATCAGTGTTATGTTTGCTTTATAAACAAGAAATGAAAGGCTTTTTTTTCCCTTAGGTTTTGATAGTATTAATGTAATCTATTCCTTGGAAGTTTAAAATAAGTAACCTATTAAAATCTCTGAGCCTAACACTTTTTTTGGAAGTTATCTTTCTGACATTTTTTCTCAAAAAATGCATTCAAAATCACAACATAAAAAATTTTAAAGCATAAACAAAAACCAAACTAGAAATAGCATCTACAACATGTATTAAAATAATTAAATTAATTAAAAATAAAATTATTTAATTTAATAACAATAATTAAAATACCTAAAAGAATTAAAAAATACCTACCAGACATGGTGGCACACACCTATAGTCCAACTTCTTGGGATGCTGAGGCAGGAGTATCTCTTGAGCCCAGGAGTTCAAAACCAGCCTGGGCAACATAGTGAGACTCTGTCTCCGAACTGAACCGAACCGAACCGAACCGAACCGAACCAAACCAAACCAAACGCAATAAAAAACCAAAGTAAAAGATCCAATATACAAAAGATTCTTGTTAATCAGTAAGAAACATGTGAACCACCAAACAGCAAAACTACAAAGTACACAGGCAATTAGTAGACAAAGAAATACAAACAACTTACAAAAATGCGCAAGACTAATCAATTATTATTAAAAAGCATGCAAACTAAAATGAGGGATCATTACTTGCAATCAAACTGTAAAGCTGAGAACATAAAAAATATCTAGTGCTGTCACTATGTATGTCCTCTCAAGTACTGTTGGAGATAGTGTAAATGTTTTCAATTTTTTCAGAAGACGATTTGGTAACACCTATTGAGGCTGGAGAATAGGGTCTGAAGGCAGGGAATTTAAGGCCAATTCGTGCTAATTTCCTAAAGCTGGAGGAAAACACCTGGGTCTGAAGGCAGAGAACATAAGGCCAATTCATGCTAACTTCCTAAAGCAGGATCAAAAGAAAAATCCCCATCTCTCCACAGCCTAGTAACAAAGGATCAGAGGCTACTCCCCCTACAAGCCTCTCTGTTCCACTAAGTCTCAGGTGGAAAGGGAAAGTGCCATGGATTGGCTGTGGGCCAAGCATGGGCTATCCCTTTATCTGCATAGGGTGCCAGTCCACTCTGGCCTCTGGTTGTCCACAGGCGAACTCACCTCAGCTATTAATCGGCCACAGGCCAAATCCTTCATCCACATAGTGGGTAGCCAATAGGGACCTCAAAAAGGGTACTTAAACCCCAGAAAACCTTGTGAGCAGGGCCCCTGAACCACAAATGATGTATTTTTGTTTCTCTGTACTAAAGGTAAAATGGTTGGTCTTCATGTCATATTTTTATATACAGTTCAGTATTATCTGATCTTTTTTAATCTGCTTAAAACACTCCTATCCTATGGAGTGCTATCTCGCTTCAATATATCCCTACTTTCGCTGTTTCGTACCTTTCTTACTTTGTGCATTTTGCTCAACTCTGTTCAACACGCCAAGAACCTGGATGTCTCACGCTCAAGGCCTATCTTCCCATAACACTATCACAATTATAAATACACATCTACCTTTGTCTCAGCAGCTCCACTTTAGAGATGTGTTCTATCAAAAAATCTATTCAAGTTGCCAAAGATGTTCACTGAAGTATTTTTTTGTGAAACTAAAAAAATGGAAACAATCCAAGTGTTCTTCAATGAAATACTGGATTAAGATATCACATCCATACAGTGGAATATTGTACAGCCACTATAAAAGAGAGAAGTATCTCTATACATACTGGCAGGTATAGTGCTGATGAAACACTGTTTAGTTGCTCTTGCAATAATCTTTTAACTGGATTTCTTGATTCCAATTTATCCTCCATCTGCTGTCAGAATAACCTTTACAAAATACTAGTATGTTCATTATTCTTAAATTATTCAATAGCTTTCATGATAAAAATTCGTATCTCTCAGTAGGATTACACAGGTTACTATCTAGCCTCTGCCAAAGTGCATCAATTCTGACCCACTTTCTACTCTAATATCTCATGAGCTGGTTAAAATATTTCTAGATACACTGTTTACAACTGCCTAAATGAAACAGGCTCTTTCCTCCTTCTCCACTTGCACGTGCACCTACCTCTAAACTGAATATTCATTTTTATGATCTTCAGTTGGCTAACTCCTACTTATCCTTCAAAACTAAGTTTGAGGCTGGGCGCAGTGGCTCAAACCTGTAGTATCAGCATTTTGGGAGGTCAAGGCAGGAGGATCATGTGAGCCCAGGAGTTCGAAACCAGACTGGGCAACATAGTGAGACTCTGTCTTTACAAAAAATTTAAAAAATTAGCCAGGCATGGTGGTATGCACCTGTAGTCCAAGCTCCTTAGGAGGCTGAGGCAGGAGGATGGCCTGAGCCCAGGAGGTCGAGGCTGCAGTGAGCCAGGATCACACCATTGCACTCCACCCTGGGCACAGAGCAAGACTGTGTCTCAAAACTGAACGAAGCTGAAACTAAATGCTAAAAAAATACAAAACAAAACAAAAACCCCAAAAACCAAACAATAAAAAACAACTAAGTTTGAGGAATGAACCTCTAGGAAGGTTTCACTTGTCATCTGCATCTCAGTTAAGTTTTCCCAGTTTTTGTTCCTAGAGACACTTTCTACTACCTCTAATCTTCCTATATTGTAAATGCCTATAGCCTTGGAATCTCTTCCGTACTGTCAAATTCTTGACACAAGGACTGAGTCTTTCATCTTCTAACTCTTAGCGTTTAGCATGTATTAATTGTGTAACAGAAACCAATTTTAAAAATCAATGACATTAAGTGATTTTTTTTCTTCATCTACCAGGCTTCCTCAAAATTTTTTACATTCAAGAGTTGGCTACATGTAAAGTGTCCAGAACAGGCGAACCTATAGAGTTATAAGGTAGATTAGTGGTTGCTAAGGGGTGGGGGCTGGGAGGTTTGGGTGGGAATCAATGACAGCCAATGCATATTAAGTTTCTTTGGGGAATGATAAAATTGTTCCAAAATTAGATAATGGTGATGGTTTCAGAATGCCGTAAATATACTTAAACCATTGAATTCTACACTTTAAGCTTTACAATATGTAATTGTATTTCAATAAAACTTAAAAAAATAAAAGTTGGTTAAAAAGAATAAAGTTTACGTACATGATGTACCCATAATTAAACTTTATTTCTGGATGATACAGAACCTTTTGTTAGTCTCAATTTCTGGTTATTTCATTTCAATAAAATTTCCACTAGAGGGCATTCAAAGAAAAGCAGAAAGCAAAACTCAATCTGACAGAAAAATAATATATTTTCACAATGATGTATTTGTCACGTCTCTGTACTGGGGTAAAATGGTTGGTCTTCATGTCATATTTTTGCATATAGTTCGGTATTATCTAATCTTTTTAATCTGCTTAATACACTCAGTTTATAGTTGAGAGATTAATGAAACAACTATGATAAAGGAAATTTCGACAATGATAAAATGCTAGGAATTAGATATCCATTTCCAGCTATCAGAAAAGTTTTGTTAGATCAAACCTCCCACTGAAAAAGACTGTAAAAGCTGATAAAATACAAATATGCCTGGAGACACAGTAGAAAAACCAAGGTTGCCAGAACAGGAGAAGCCAAGCTCCTGGAGAGAAAAGCAGCATTTGGTGAATTGAGTTTTATATCCTCTTCCACTTTTTGCTTTTAGACATTTGCCAATTAGCATTGGCAAGTGCTAATGGGTAGCATTAGCAGAAAGCAGTAACTTTAGGCCTTCTTATGGTGATGGGGAACTCCAACACAAAAACTGGAGTTCAGGTCTACTAAAGCACTGAGAACTTCAAGAATCAAGAATCTGGAAAAAGGGGAGTAACAGAAAGGTGACCCTGCAGAGAAGTGATCTTCTGTCGGACTTCTGCCTTCAAAGTATTTTCAGGGGCTGAAGAAGACTACAACCACCAAGCTAAAACTAGATGCTAAGAGGGCTTTGAGCATTCCCACAAATAGCAGAGGAAATAAAAATTGGCATTCATGATCCTCAAAGGGAGAGTGGCTCAGATAAACACCCCAAGTTTGAATTGAGACTGTGGAAAATACAGGAAATAAACTGATCCTGAAATCCAGCCTTGAACCATCTTAATCCTTGATTTAATTGACGTGATCTGCCCTTATTCCAACTATCAGTCAGAAGAAAATTAAATATTTTCTGGAAGCAAACAGACCTGTACCAAAGTTTTATATAATATCCAGCATTCAACCAAAAGCTACCAGGCATCGTAAATTGTAGAACTAAGAAACAAGATTAATGAAATCGAAAAGCTAATAGATGGGTTTAATAGTGGATTAGCTACAGAAGAGAATTAATGGCCTGGAAGATAGACCAAAAGAAAATACCCAGTGTGAATATGGAGAAGATAAAGGAAGAAAAGAGTGTTAAGAAACAAATGGGATATAGATGTAATGGTTTAAATCTCAATTGGAGAGGAGAGAGAATGAAGAAAAAGCAGTATCTTAAGACATACTGCCTGAAAAGTTTCCCAAACTAATGAAATACATCAAACAACAGATTTAAGAATTCCTGTGGGACAAAAACAAAACCCCACTATACATAGGGATATCATAGCAAAGCTGTTTTTTTTTTTTTAAAAAAAAAGACCAACAGAAAATATTAAAAACAACCAGAGGATAAAATCTAATACCTTCAAAGAATCAACAATAAGAGTAACAGCTGACTTGTTGTGCTGGACCCCTACTGGCTCCAATAGGGATGGCACTATGTTTAAGGGGTTGAAGGAGAGACCCAGAATCAACAAATGAGACATAGAGTTTACTGAGAACTTACAGGGCAGTCCATGAGTGACAGGCTGGACAAGAAAATTGCTACCATTTGTAAAAAGCATTTATGTTACATAGCATTTTTACTTTGTAATTTCCACCTAGCAATCTTCACCTAGCAACCTCCACTTAACCCCAAACAAAGGGTCTCTAATCCCCTGTACAGCCTGCATTCCAAGAAATGGGCCAGGGGTTCAGATGTCCTTCATAGGTAAGGAGTGAATCTTCGGGTTGGCCACTCCCGGATTCCTTAGCTTGGAAGCTCGAACACAAACACACATTCTACTTAGACCATACGGCCGTTCTTAGGGTATGCTGGAGTTACTGCTGTAAAGTGCATCTGCCATTCACTCCATCTCAGCATATTCTTGAATGGCCCTCATATTTTTATCATGTTTTTTTTGAGTGATTTTTGGGGGCCAGGTATGTGGAGGAGCAGTATGTGCAGCCAAATGCTGTGGCAGCAATACAAACTATTAACAAAAGAGAATAACGAACATACTAGAAATCATACTGTACTGAAGGTTTTTCTAAGCACTTGAGAGTTAATTAAACCTGGCTCAGTGACCTCAATCAAAGACTGTCCTTCAGTTGTCAAACAGGTGACAGGGCTGAGCACCAAATGGAACTCTGCACTTAAGGAACTATTGATGTGCTCCCTTTGTTTGGAGCCTAATGTTGCAAGTATGTATGCTATTTGGCCACATCTGTCTCTGGGAATTCCCAGACTTTGGTTTCCGGGAGGTATCCTTTAACCAAACTGCTATGGGATACTGAGTGCATACCAGCACTGGGAGCCCCTTTGTCACGTTGGCATGTTGTAAGAGGTGATATTTAGCATTGAGTTGTTGCTCCATGATGATATATTTAGCTTCAGCCCCCTTCCATAGTTGGGACTAGAACCCTAATGGCACACCCCTCAGGGTAACTGGCTATGTCCAATTCACAAGGTTGTCCCTGTACTAGAGTTTCCAGAATTTATATTTGTTTCATTATGACTTTAGTTTGTTTAAAGGCCTCATCTTTCTCTGTGGACCAGTTCCAGTGAGCCCCCATCTTGACTAAGTGGTATAGGGGCCTGAGGAGTTGGGCCAAATGGGGAATAAAAGGACTAATACCCTATAAAGCTTAAGAAGGTCTGCAACTGCTTTGGTGTGGTAGGACGCGGGTAGTCCTACGCCTTATCTATAATGGCAGAAAGAACAACTTGACTTTAGTCTTACCCAACCAGATGACACCGAATATTTAATAAACCTGGACCCTTAAATGTCTGTGCTGCCCATACTCCGTTTGCCAAGCGAGACGGCAAGGTGGGGACTAGCAACCTCCATTACTAACCCAAAGGTGGGGCTGCAGTTTGTGAGGTAGAAAAAGACTTAGCATGATATCATCAATTTAATGGAAAACATGTACCCTCTCCAGGGTAGTCCATCGACTGACATTTGACGTCTGTGGTCATTAGACCCTCACAGATAGTGGGGCTATGTAAATATCCTTGGGGCAAGATGGTAAAGGTCCGTTGTTCTCCTTTCTAGGTGAATGTAAATTGGTCTTGTCTTTGGGGCAATGGGGATGCTGAAGAAGGCTTGGTTAAATTAATAAGAAAACGTTACGTACCAAGCACCTGTCCTATTTTCATCAGAAGGGAAGTGATATTTTAATTTCTGGTAATGTATTGTTATTTTCCAAGTCCCGTCAGGTTTTTGCACAGGCCATACAGGGTTGTTGTATGGGCTGTGCACTACTGGCCTTATAATGTCCACCTGGGCTAACTCCTTAATACTTTCTGTGATTTTATCATGCCCCCAAGCCCCACTCACGAGTGGTATTGCTTCAGCACTACTATTTGCTATGGGGCTGGGCAACTGTATTGGTGTCCATTTTGTGTTACCGTGATTATGTTTTGTCATCCTAACTCTCAGTTGGAATTTTTTGGCAGTTTGGAGGGTCAAGCCTGACAAAATACTCGTTCCCAAGATGTATTTTGGGACAGGAGCTATATATACTAAATAGGGTCTTCGTGACAGTCTCCCAACTTGTAATACTAGTTCAACATTTATACCTCATTCCCCATCACCCTTTACTATCTATTGCTGTTATAGGTCCTTGGAACCGATAGGTGTTACCATATATGAGTGCACTTGGCTCCAGTATCCACTATAGCAGGGGTCCCCAACCCCCAGGCAGCAGACTGGCACTGGTCTGTGGCCTGTTAGGAACTGAGCCGCAGAGCAGGAGGTGAGTGGCAGGTGAGCGAGCATTACCATCTGAGCTCCACTTCCCATCAGATCAGTGGTGGCATTAGATTCTCATAGGAGTACGAACCCTATTGTGAACTGCGCATGCGAGAGATCTATGTTGCATGCTCCTGATGAGAATCTAACGCCTGACGATCTGAGGTGAACAGTTTCATCCCGAAACATCCCCCTGCCCCTAGTCTTAGGAAAAACTGTCTTCCACAAAACTGGTCCCTGGTGCCAAAAAGGTGAGGGACCACTGCACTAGAGCAAGCACAGTCTATTTTTAGGTGACCTATATATAGTTTTTATATGAGGCCTCTGGTCCCTGGCCATCACTGTTTGTACTGGGATTCTGAGGCCTTGGCCTTTATCTTAGGCTAAAGGGGTTAGTGCCTGCCATCTCTCTGTGGGAGGGGTGGTGGGCTGAACCTGAGGCTCCTTAGTGAAGTGCTGCTCCGGCTTGAGTTTTTATTACAGTCTAACCCAAACAGTATTAGGCTGTCTTTTTTTTTTTTTCAGTAGGTATCCCTGCCATTAGCAGGTTGCCTACATCTATTGGCAAATCACTCTGATAAGCCCCTTGACTGTTTCCTTTTTTTTTTTTTTGACTCCTTTGTCTTTCATCCAGCAGTGCATACCTCTTACTTATGCAGTTTTTGTTTCCCTTAAGTCGAGGGTCACTTGGGCTGCCCAGGATACTGGCTTCCATATTAGGGTGCTTAAGACAGAAACTGGCATCCTATATCACTACTTAGGTGTCAACTGCAGAATTCTCTTTTATTCTGGCAGTAACCAATTCACTTTTGGGATCGTGCTGATTTTTAGCATAAATATTAATAGCATGTTTCATCCCCAACTCCCAGAGGAGGTCCTGCAACTTTTTCATAGTCTGCCATTGCAAAGGAGATGTGGAGATGTCTCCCTCATTTGGCCAGGCCCCCTTGAAGCCCACAACCACTCAGCTAAGGAGGGGGATGGTCTGATCCCCATGATTGGTGCCATAGAAATGCTGCCTCAGGACCAGGTGCTTTGTGATGGATGCCATTTTATTCATCTCGAATCTAGAGAGTATAGTATTCTCTACCCCTACATCCCATTGACAGAGAAACCACCCTATGATTGACTCTCTCCCCTTCTGTTTGAACCTATTTCCCAGTTCCACAGTGGTATAATACCACATTGTGGTGTGCTGCCCTCTTTCAGGCAGGGCAAGTCTTGAGGGGCTTCCTTTTGTGGGGTCCACTTTTACCTTGGTGGTGGCCAATGTACATGCAGACAGTATGGGAACCTCTATGGACTCATCCCAGTCCTCTTCCTCCTTCCCACTAGAGCTCTCCATGGGGTCCCAGGACTTAGTGTCCCAGGATGATTTATTCCTGACAGCCCTAACTTGTCAGCCTGACAGTTGAAGACTCTTCAAATGAGTTACGTGGTAAGCCAGAGTGTCCATTCTGTCATTTTGTTTGCACAGGCAGGACAGTTAGGTCTCCAACATTTTAGTCTGAGCTAACTAAGCATTTCTTTCTAATCACAGCTTGTCTTGTAACTGATGCACCCTTGCCTGTGCAGTGACCTCAGCCTCCACGGCTCCTCGACACACAGGAGCTGCCAATGAACTATGGCTATCACAGCGTGGGCATGTGACTTTCACTTAGTTGGATCTACCCCCTGCACCAGCTCTTCCAGACCTTTTGATGTTATGAGGGCATCCCCATACTCATGCAGTGGGCCTCATCCATCAAGGATAGCAGTCATTGGGCCTCACATAGATGTGGATGGCCATCCCAGCGTTTCCCTTGTGGATTTCCTTTTCCCTGATCGCATCATCTTGGTGCTCACAGGATTCTTTCCAACTTCCTAGCTGGATTGCCAATTGTTGTGTGGGACCTCTACTGACTCAAATAGGGATAGCACCATGTTTGAGAGGCTGAAGAGGAAACCCCAAGCCAGTGAACGAGCCATAGGGTTTATTAAAGACATACATAAGGTGGTCCAGGAGCAATGGGCTGATTAGGAAAACTGCAACTATTTCTAAGAAGTGTACAAGTTACACAGAATTTTTACTTAGCAATCTCCACCTAGCAACCTCCATCTAACCCAAAACAAAGGGTCTGAATCCCCTGTATGGCCTGTATTCCAAGGAATGGGCCAGGGGTTCAGATGCCCTTCTTAGATAAGAAGTGAATCTCTAGGTTGGCTACTCCCAGATTCTTTAGCTCAGAACTCCAAACACATACTCTCCTTAGACCATAGGGTCATTATCAGAGTATGCTTGAGTTAATGCTGTCGGGCATAGAAGCTTTCAGTAAAAATAAGAGACAACAAAATGATAGCTTTAAAGTACCAAAAGAAAGTAATGCTAACCTAGAATTCTATACCCAGTGAAAATAACTTTCAAAAATGAAAAGCAAAATAAAAATACATTCAAAATAAAAATGCTTTGAAACAAAAACACAGTCACCAGCAGATGTATTTAAAAAAGGTTTTCAGAAGAAAAATGATCCCTGATTAAATCCCTGTTTAAAATATGAAAATAGAGGATGGAATGAAGAGAGCCATAAAGATGAGTATGTGGGTAAATCCAAATAAAAGTTGGTAATAATAACATAATTGATAGCAATACTAAAATGCTAATAATAAATTGTGAGGTTTAAATAGAGATAGATTTCTATAATCCCAGCACTTTGGGAGGCCAAGGCAGGCAGATCACCTAAGGTTGCAAGTTCAAGACCAGCCTGACCAACATGGTGAAACCCTGTCTCTATTAAAAATACAAAATTAGCCAGGCGTGGTGGTCCATGCCTATAATCCCAGCAACTTGGGAGGCTGAGGTAGGAGAATCTCTTGAACCCGGGAGGCGGAGGTTGTGGTGAGCCGAGATTGCGCCACTGCACTCCAGCCTGGGCAACAAAGAGCGAAACTCCATCTCAAAAAAAAAAAATAGCGATAGATTCAAAATATATGACAACAATAGCACAAATACAGGGGTGGAATGGGCAAAAATGAGGTTAAAATATTCTAAGATTCCTGCATTGTCCAGGAATTGTTAAAAGTACTAATTTAGAGTAGACTCTAATAAGTAAAGAATGTATGTTATAATCTCTAGGGTAGCCACTCAAAGAATAATAAAAGAACGAATAACTACAGAAAGATAGAAAATGGAATAATAAAAAATAATATTTGATTAATCAAAAAATAATCAGAACTGGGAAAAAAGAGCACTGACTAATGAAACACCGATCAGTGTGCACATTAAAGGCAGGTAGACTAAACAATGAAAAGAAAACTACTGTCAATCAATCTGGATTAAAAAAGGGGAACTATATATTACTTACTTTAAATAAAAGCACACAGAAAGGCTGAAAGCAAAAATATGGAAAAACACTATACACATGCTCAAGAAAGCTGATATACCTATACCAATATTAGATTAAGTATATTATAATGAAGTAAGAATTACTACATACAAAGGGGTACACTTCATAAAGGTAAAAGGTCAATGCATCAGGGATATAGGAGGCTTAAAAGATGTAAGGAAAAGTTGACCAAAATGCAAATCTCAGTAACTGATAGAACACGGAAGTAAAAAAAAAAAAAAATCAGGACAGTAGTCCCTGCTTTATCCATGGGGGATATGCTCCAAGACCCCCAGTGGATGCCTGAGGCCACAGATAGTAGTGAACCATTTAAATACTATGTTTTTTCCTATACATATGTGCCTATGAAAAAATTTAATTTGCAAATCAGGAGCAGTAAGAGATAACAGGAACTAAGAATAAAACAATTGCAATAATATACTCAATAAAAGTTATGTAAATGTGATCTTTCTCTCAAAATATCTTATTGTACTATATTCACCCTTTTTCTTCTTGTGATGGTATGTAATGATAAAATGCCTATGTGAAGAGATGAAGCAGGGTGAATGACAGGCATCGTGACATAGTGTTAAGCTACTTTGACCTTCTGTAATGTATACACAATACATTAGAAGGAGGATCATCTGCTTCTGGTGATCCTACATTATCAAGCCACGACAATGTCAATGGTTGGATGTCAGAAGATAATGTAGATGACGAACGGGCAGTTAGTGTGTATAGAGTCTTCGTCCAGATACACTGAACAAAGAGATAATTTACCTCCCAGGTGGGAAGGAGAGGGATGGTGTGAGATTTCACCATGCTACTCTGCCAGTACTTTCTCATGTTCACCAACTCAAAAGCTCTCTACAAATCCTACAGTTTAGGGTTTTTTATGAAGGAATGGTTAAATCATTCGCCATTGGTAATTAGCTCAATCTCCAGTCTCTCTCCTCTCTCTGTGGAGGTCAGGGGGTAGTGTTAAAAATTTCTACCCTTTAATCATGTCTTGGTCTTTCTGCCTCCGTCCCCCACAACCAGTCATCTCATTAGTATGAGATGTCTAAAGACTCTTATCATTTGGGAGATTCCAAGGCTTTCAGAAGTTCTAGTGTCAGGAACCAGTGGTTAAGACCAAATATTTTAACCAAACATGCTTTATATCATTCAAAAGATCACCCCTATCATTCAATAAATTACAAGGCATGAAGGAGCTGTGCCAGGAACCAGGGGACAAAGACCAAATATATATTTATTATATCACAGTATCACAGTAGACCATTACACCCAACCATTGCCAAATCACATTATTTTATAGTGCAAAAATTGACCATAGGTTGGGTTATAAAGAACATCTCAACAAATTTCAAAGATCTGAAATAATATAGAATATGTTCCTTCACCATAGTGGAATTCAGCTAGATATTAATAACGAAAAGCAAAGTAGGAGAATAAACAAACTTTAATATATCCAAACATTAGAACATTTCTCAGCAATAAAAAGAAATGAACTACTGATACACAAAACATAGGTTCTCAAAAACATGCTGAGCAAAAGAATTCAGACATTAAGAAGTACAATACTGCATAATGTAGTAAACAGCACTAATGCAGGGTAGGAAAAAAAAATGAGTGGTTGCCTTCTGGGTTCAGGGGATTATCTTGGAAGGGGCCTAAGGGAGATTCCTAGGGTGAGGAAGAATGTTCTATATTTTGAAAGAGATGTGGGTTACATGGGTATATGTGTCACAATAAAAAATCTACACTGAAGATCTGTGCATTTCATTTTGTAAATTAGATCTCAGTAAGTGGAATAAAAAGTATGTCAAGTGGCATTATATAATGTTTATGGATGATTATATACACACGCACAGATGGATGATCATATGTGTAATTTAACTTGGGCAGAAAAAATACACACAAATTACAAGACTGTAGTTGCTTCTATAAGAAAGAAAGAAGGAAAGGGAATATGATTGGGGAGGATACAAAGGGTCCTTTAACCACATTATATTATTTTATTTAAAACATATTTAAAGCAAAATTACAATAATTAGGCAAAACATGGCTTTTCAAAGACTGTGTGAACCACAGTTTTGATATGCTAACAGCTCTAATAAGAACAGGTAAAACAAGGAAAGAATTTATTTTAAAAAATTATTCAGAATTCTAATAGTTAAAAGTTAAACATATTAGCAAAAAAGAAATCTGCTTTAAGTCAGTGTTCCTTTACAGTTTGTCACTGAAAATATAAATAAGGTGTCAGAAAAGTCCCTTGCTTTATTTTAAATAAAATATTTTAGCCAGCCAAAAAGGGATAAAGAAAAATGAATTCTACTATATGTTCAGGAAGAACACATTCAAATAGGGAATGTTAATTACAAGATACTCCAAGATTTAATGACACTGTTATCTGTTTAATAAAAATGAATAACATACAAATTAAGGGGGACCTTGTCAGTTATTTGAAAAACTACCAGGATGCATAAAATTTAGCAAAATTTGAAAACAAATATGTATACGAGCTAAAACACTCATATGAAAACATATTTTTATTATGTGAAAGAAGAAACTTCACTACCTCCTCTCCATAAAAGATTAAAAAGAAGAGTTAAACAAATCCAAGTGATGCTTCCAAGAAAGAAAAATATTGTTCTCTCTCACCTAGAAAATGCATGTTTAACTAGATTAGAATTAAGGAATGGATGAGGACCATATTTCTGACTTTGCTTGTTAATCATCCTACTGCTTGTTTTAGGAACATGCAAAATTTTCATTAATTCTTTTGGGATTACACATTTATTATAAATACTTCTATAATTTTGTGTAACATATCTCTTATGTGTAAACTTTTTATGTAGATAATTTATTTTTACTATTTCCTTGAAAACATACTATCCCTAATTATTAATAGGTACTCCTGGTATCTGCTTAGTAGTACAGTCATAACTAAAGTGTGATTCTTTAATGGCATCAGCCATTTTTTTAGAAACTTGTTATATTTATATGCAACACTTTTTACAAAACAATTTTACATGATATTGCATCTGACTGTCACAAGAATTCAGCAAAATCAGTGAAACAAATTTTCTTATCTTATACCATAAATGAAAAATAAAAGTTCAGTTTCAGAAGTTAGCAAGGTCATGAAGCTTATAGTAACAGGACTTGGGACATAAATTCTGAGTCCAAGATCATTCACAAATAAGTAATCTTCAATTTTTCTTAATAGCGTAACTCAAAATACATTTTTGCTTAATTTTAACAATGAAAATTATGACTATTTTGCCATTATAATACAATTTTACAATAAAATGGCAGATGAAACAATGTAAAAAATTACAAAGAAAGTATAGCAGGGTTTTATTCAAGCATAGCAGAGTTTTTTTGGAGGGATTCTTGTTGAGAATTTCTGGTTATCATTATACTGTTGAAAACCAATACACTAAAGTTAGACAATTTATAAACAATAAATTATAAACTCATACACTAGTTCACTGATATCAGCTATTAGTACTTCAGGACAGGGTATGGAAAGCCTTTTTCCTAAAAGATGTAAGAGGAAAAAAAAAATCACATTTTTAAATGAAAGCAATTAAGCTGTCATTTCAAATTTAGAATTTAAAGCATAGCCAAAGATAAAAAAGCTAAATTCTCAAACAAACTAATTTTATAAGGAGGTAGTGGTATAATTTTATTACATCTACTTTATTTTTGTAGTGTATAATTTATTATACACTACTAATCAGTGTGTGTTAACATTATTATAATCAATAAGACTTATCAAAGGGTAGTCTATTTGATGGAGAATTGAGTTCAATGTAGAAATAGTAATTTCCTACCATGTACCAGACACTAATAAGATAAAAGTCAAGTCAGAATTTGAAAGGTGTTTGTGTGTGATCTTGGTTTTTGTGCATGTGTTTTGAAAAATTAGTGCCAAGAGCTTTTCATCAACTGGCTTTCTTCACCTCTATCCTATTTTATGCTTTCAAAAGGTCCAGGTAGATTTCCAGGTATCTGAGTAGCAGTATTAACATATGTCTTAAATATGCAAGATAACCCTAAGATATCTATCATTGTTTGCATACAGGTAAAACTGCTAACAAAGGTAAAATCAGCTCCTATATGTAGGTAAGAGATAAATTTTAAAATGATAATGGGGCAATTTATTACAAATATATAAAAGGCTAAAAACATAAGGAATGATGTTCAAACTAATTAAAAATCAGAAAAATAACAAAACTATAACATGCTCACTTTTATCCATGATATTGTTCAAACCACAAAGCCTAACAATATGTTAGCAAGAATGCCAAAAACAAAATGGATACTTTCACATGGTCTACAAATGTAAAGTGGAAAAAACTTTTTGGAGGACAGTTTGGATATAACTTGCAAGATTTTAAATGTGCAAACCTTTTGAGCAATTCTACTTCTGGAAGTCTTCTACAGAATTAACGCGTACCAAGGATATTATCATCGTTATGGCAAACAAACATCTGATGCTTACTCTGTGGCTAGGCACTGTTCTAAACACAAAGCAACTTTATGATGTGAGTGGTATTTTTATCCCCTACTATAAGAATGAAACTGAAAAGATGAATAACTTGCCCAATTACAGAGCTAGTAAATGACAAAGTTGGGATTCAAACCTTGGCAGTCTGGTTCATAAGACAGTACTCTTAACCACCATATAAAATAAGAATAAAATTTATAAACAACTTAAATGCTGTCAACATGATAATGGTTCAATAAATTACAGTACATTAATAATAAGGAATATTAAGCAGCTAAAAAAATGGGAGGTAAACTTATTATGTACTGACAAGGAAAGATCCCAAACAAGTGAAAAGAAGTGTGTGTGTGTGTGTGTGTGTGTGTGTGTGTGTGTGTGTGACTGTGTGTCTGTGCATTTGTATGAAAATGTGTATTTTTAAAAAGGATTAGGGACATTTACCAAACTACTTAAAATAGCTATCCTGGGGCAGAGAATTTAAGGAATTTCTTTAATCAACAAAGACTCATGATTTACTACTTGGACTTCCATATTATTTTAATATCTTATGACAAAATGTCTTGATTATTTACAGGGTTAAAAAGGCTAAAAAGAAAAACTACAACATAAATGACAATTTCTAGTAATGTTTTCTAAGTAAGATATTTCTAAAAATTCTTTATGAAATAATATTTTTGTAATTCCAGTCTATGCTTTCAGAGCAAAGATATGTCACACATTTACTTACAGCTAGAAAACAAGTTACTATTGTAAGCCAAAATTACATTTTTATCTACTAAACTGCTCCTGTGACATTTACAACTAAATTTATGTTCTGAGAAAGTAGGCAACATTTTTTCCAAAGGTATCTTCTGTTTATTAAAACATGCAATAACATTCAACAAGTTAACAATTACACAATGACTACGTCAAAACCTAGGGCATTAATTAATGTGTTCTGCCTTATCAATGGTAATAAAAGCATCTATTTAAATTAAAATGCCACATCACTTTACAAAACCCTTATCTTATGACTGAGCAATCCTAATGTAACAAATACATATGGTAGAAAAATTACCTTCTAAATGTAAAAAAAAAATCTTTTTTTTTAAATATAAGAAAGAGTTTCAGCAAACTAGGGGGAAACGCACAATTTCTAAAAACAAAAATGTCAATTGCATGTATTTTTTAAAGGCTCATTCTAACAATAAAAATGCCAACTCCAAACTTAAGGTTAAATTGAAGATTTACTATGTCAAGTTTCAATTCATTTGACTGAAGGCCACCTTGTTTTTCAGACCTACAGGTGATTAAGCTAAATTAAAGTGGTAACATTGTTCTGTTCCCATACTTTCATAGTTTGTAGAATTTTTAAGTGAAAATATTCAACTATAATTTAGGGAACAAGACAGAAAAAAAAACCCAAATCCAAAGATACAGGAAGTTTAATACAAACATATGTTTTGCAACAATATAAAAAGTCACGCTGTTTAAACTGTTGTGAAAACATCCTAAATATAGACAAGATGAAGAATATAAATACATTCTACTGGTGGATCCTGTTCAGATTAAACTGTTGTAAATACCCTTATCAAACCTCTGTTACATTGAAAGGCACTTAAATACTTGAGCACCAATTTTCTGTTCTGTGAAAAATAACATACCATTTATCAGTGAGTTGTAAAGATTATTTAGACAATGTATTACACAGACAAGCAATTAACACAGTGCCTATTACACAGCAAATGTTCAATAAATGTTTCATTTACAAATTCTAAAGCCCGGAAACAAATTCTAAAGCCAAAATAAACCAGTATTAAATTTCCATATTTGCCAGATACCGTACACTGTGTTAAATATTGTCAGTATCAAGATCCAAGAGATGCATAAGATGTAATTTGTGTCCTAGAGGCTTAATTTTAAAAACGGCTTTCAAGTTGTAAGTTTTTACCATAAGTCCCACAGATGGAAAATGAAAAAATAAAAGAAAATAAAGAAAAATAATAAAAGAACAAAGTGGTTCTACATATCATATGGAAAGCTGTCCATGAATTAAATCAATGCTATTTCCAAAGCTATTTTAAATAAGATTTTAAAAAAGAAGTTTGCATGGGAAGGAAAGAATTACAGAGCTGACACAAAAATAGTTATAAATAAACTTTAAAAATCTAGAAGATGCTGATTTCTATTTCTAGTAATTGCAAGTTAGATAATTTGGACCAAAATTGTGAGGGAATCTAGAAGTTTTTAAAAATTTCTTAAAAACTGAGGAACTAAATCCATTATTTTAACAACAGATTAGAAGGTGAAGTGAGATTTAGTGACCTAGAGGGAGGATCAGAAGCTATAATCCAGAATATGGCACAATGAGACTGAAAAATGGAAAATGAAAGATATTGAGGATACAGTGAGAAGATCTAATGGATATACAATCAGAGGCTCAGAAGGAGGATGTAATATTTGAAGAAACGATAGATGAGAGATTTTCTAGAACTGCAAAATTTAGAAGATGCTTGTCATGGTATCATGATGGAGATACCTTAATAATATCACATTAAAGGGATGTTTTTTCCTTTTCAAGAAGCCACTTTCAAGATGAAAGAGAAGAAATGTTGGAAGAAGCTACAAAATTTTTGCAAAAAACATTGACACCCAGGAATCCAAATAGTATTAGCAAATTTAAATGTTTACTTAAAACAAAATTTGGGTGCAATATAAACTTTAAAGCAGATGAGAATTACTCCTTTAATGTATCTATTTAGTTAATAAGTTTGGAAATGTTCACCATCAAATGATAAAAATTTAATTATTTATTTTTATTATAATTTAAGTTCTGGGGTACATTTGTAGAGCATGCAGGTTTGTTCCATTGGTATACACGTGCCATGGTGGTTTGTGCACCCATAAACCCGTCACCTACATTAAGTATTTCTCCTAATGCTATCCCTCTCCCAGCCTATCATCTCCTGATAGGCCCTGGTATGTGATGTTCCCCTCCCTGTGTCCATGTGTTCTCACTGTTCAACTCCCACTCATGAGTGAGAACATGCAGTGTTTGGTTTTCTGTTCTTGTGTTAGTTTGCTGAGAATGATGGTTTCCAGTTTCATCCATGTCCCTGCAAGGACATGAACTCATCCTTTTTTATGGCTGCATAGTATTCCATGGTGTATATGTGCCACATTTTCTTTATCTAGTCTGTCATTGATGGGCATTTGGGTTGGTTCCAAGTCTTTGCTATTGTGAACAGTGCCGCAATAAACATATGTGTGCACATGTCTTTATAGCAGAATAATTTATAATCCTTTGAGTATATACCTAGTAATGGGATTGCTGGGTCAAATGGTATTTCTAGTTCTAGAGTTCTAGATCCTTGAGGAATCGCCACACTGTCCTCCACAATGATTGAACTAATTTACACTCCCACCAACAGTATAAAAGCATTCCTATTTCTCCACATCCTCTCCAGCATCTGTTGCTTCCTGACTTTTTAATGATCGCCATTCTATCTGGCATGAGATGGTATCTCTTTATCTGTGGTTTTGCTGTCTGCAGTAACCTGAGGACCAAAAATATTAAATAAAAAATTCATAACTTTTGAATTGCACACTGTCCTGAATAGTGTGATGAGATTTTGTACTGTCTCACTTGAGATATGAATCATCTTTTGTCCGGCATATCCACGCTATATATACTACACACCCAATTATCACTGACGGATCTGTCTCAATTATCAGATTGACAGATCTTTTCAGATCATTTCAGGTCACCAAGAAAGATGAGTACAGTACAATAAGATATTTTGAGAGAAACCATATTCACATAATTTTTATTACAGTATATTGTTATAATTGTTCTATTTTATTATTAGTTAATGTTAGTCTCTTACTATGCCTAACTTATAAATTATCACATATATGTAGGCATAGGAAAAAATACAGTATTTATAGGGTTTGGTAGTATCAATGTTTTCAGGCGTCTACTAGGGGGTCTTGGAATGTATCCCTGGCACATAAAGGGGAACTCTGAAAGAAAACTGAAAAAAATGAAATTAAAGAATGAAAACTGAAAAAAATGAAATATAAAACAACAACAAAAAAAGGTATTCAGTGATATTAACGTTTAGTACACATACACAAATGGCTTGCTGAAGCAAAACAAATGGAAACAACCACAGCATACACCAAACATGATTCTCAATAAACAATTCAGTAGGTAAAATAAAGGAGTGGGCCAGGCGCAGTGACTCATGCCTGTAATCCCAACACTTTGGGAGGCCAAGGCAGGTGGATCACTTAAGGTTAGAAGTTCGAGACCAGCCTGGCCAACATGGTGAAACCCCATCTCTACTAAAAATACCAAAATTAGCTAGGAGTGGTGGCATACCTGTAGGCCTAGCTACTTGGGAGGCTGAGGCAAGAATCACCTGAACCCGGCAGCTGGAGATTGCAGGGAGCGGAGATCTGACACTGCACTCCAGCCTGAGTGACAGAGCGAGACTCCATCTCAAAATAAATAAATAAATAAATAATAAAATAAAAAAGGAGTGGATAGTCAGTGCTTGCTACTTGAAGCACTGATGCAAGGTGCTTGTCTGTTTAGGGACTTAGAAAGACGTACTATATTGTCAGCACTCATGCTGCCTTAGCATAGAGCCTAAATACTTTAAAATTCTGCCTAATGAAATCTTGTTAACAACTTTATGGCTTTTTTGTCCTTTCTTTTAATTTCTAAGCAATTGATTTTCTGCCTTACCGGAACACTTGTTTTTCTCAGGCCATAAAGAAAATAGCAAACTACTAATACACAGAGCATGGATGAGTCTTAAAATTTATTATATTCAGTTAAAGAAATCACAAAAATACTCTATAATTCTAGAACAGAAAAAATTTATAGTGGTAGAAACAAGATCCGGATCACATGGTTGCTTCTGGTGGAGAGGGAACTGGACTGGCAAGAGACACAATGGAACTTTCTGGAGTGATAGAAATATCTCATCTTGTGGTGTAAGTTACACAAATGTATGCATTTATCAAAACTGATCCAACTGTACACTGAAAATCTGAGTATTTTAATTATGTGTATGTAAATTATATACAAGTTAAAAAATTTAAACTATTACAGAATTCCCTCAGTACCATTCAGCGAGATTTCTAATTAGTTAAGTAGAGGAAATTCAACAGTTTCTTCTTAATCTTTATTCTTCCATCTACTCACTTGTAGTGTAGTGCAAACAGAACCAAGTAATTCAAGTGACTTACTTTCATTTTAAGATCTACAAACCCCTAGAAATTATCTTCCTGCTCCTAGTACGAATCAGTAACTCATTTTTCCCCATTTTATCTAAAAACTAAGATCCTGTCTTATGAGGTATTTCCACAGAATGGAGAAGAGTTCATGCTACTTTACACATGGAAACTGAGACTTCAATCTCAAGCTTAGAGGCTGATTTCCAAGACTTTGTTATTAATTTCACTTCATGAGACAAGACTACTGATCCCGTATTAGTTAAAAAAAAAAAGTTAGAAGCCAACTTTCTTTGCATCTATCAAGTACGTGACCATCTATCTAGCTTTCGCAAAATCTAGCCATTTATGTTTTATGGCTGACTCTTTCCTTGTGCTCTTTTTCTTGAGAGGTAATTTTTCTCAGCAATGGCATTGCTCAACAAAAAAGGCTACATCAACAGCCTGAAAGTAAATTCATCTGAAGATCTGTTTTTCTCCTTGACATCTGAAGAGTGGTTCCCAGATGTATTGCTGGTATCTTTTGGCACTTTTTACAGGAATCTAAAGCTCCCAATCTTCTAATAGGTTTTGATTTTTGTCACTGCTAATGAGTTAGCTATAAAATTCTCTTCAAATTTCATTGTACTCCCCATATGTCCTGATATGTTTTGTCTTTCACATTGACAGCACGCTATCCCACCATGTCCCCTAATGCTATCCTTCTTATAAAATTTGCAGCCTAAAAGCACTTTTTGCCATAACTTATCCTCTTTTCAGCTCTATCAAGAAAACACAATTCAATTTTATTGCTTTATGCTTTGAGCATTAAAAAAGAAGCAGCTGAATAGTTTTTCAGGTTATTTCTCACATCTATTAATTAAATGCATATTGCTTTATTTTCTTCAACCACTCTATAAATTCTCTAATTATTTTAGAGAGTTGATCATATACCAAGCTAAATCTTGTGCTCTTTCAAATTCATCTGCTCATTTAGGATTTTCAGTTTTGAAACTGCCTTATAGTGTCATTGCCTTATAGTTTCTAGCATAAGATGCTAACCTTGTGTCATTTTAATTCAAATTGAATCTGTTTTTCCCAATACATCTTATGTACCTAAAGGATATCTTCTAGTTCTTGAGGAGAAAGAATAGTCTAGAACCTATGACACTGGCTTGACTGACTTCTGTGTGTTTACAACATTTTAGGTGATTAGGAGGGTAAAGACTTCACTACCTACAAAATCTCATAGAGGCAGTCGGAAAAAAAGAAAGTGAAGAGCACCAAGCAAAAGTTTTATCTCATGCCACTTCTAAAGGTATACATCAAAATTACAACTCATGGAAGTTTACTTCAGCAAGGAGTACTAAAGCACATGTCCTAATTCCAAGGTATAACCAGATCCAAAAGTTACATTTTACTAAGGATTATACCATATATGACAGGATAAAAGTTTCGTTAAAAGTTTGAGGCCGGGTGCGGTGGCTCATGCCTGTAATCCTAGCACTTTGGGAGGCCAAAGTGGGCGGATCATGAGGTCAGGAGTTTGAGACCAGTCTGGCCAACATGGTGAAACCCCATCTCTACTAAAAATACAAAAATCAGTCAGTCGTGGTGGCGTGCGTCTCTAATCCTAGCTACTCAGGAGGCTAAGGCAAGAGAATCATTTGAACCCAGGAGGCAGAGGTTGCAGTGAGCCAAGATCGTGCCACTGCACTCCAGCCTGGGCGACAGAGCAAGACTCCATCTCAAAAAAAAAAAAAAATGTTTGCAGGTAGGCCAGTTATGGTGGCTTACACTTTTAATCCCAGCACTTTGGGAGGTGGAGGCAGGCAGATTGCTTGAGCCCTGGAGTTCAAGACCAGCCTGGGCAACATAGTGAAACCCCGTCTCTACAAAAATACAAAAATTAGCCAACTGTGGTAGTGTGTGCCTGTAGTCCCAGCTACTCTGGAGGCTGAGGTGGGAGGATCACCTGAGACTGGGAGGCAGAAGTTACAGCGAGCCACGATGGTGCCACTGCACTCCAGCATGGGTGACAGAGCAAGACCCTGTCTTAAAAAAAAATACAGGTTTGCAGGTAGTTTCTCTGCCAGTTCTTTTTTATCTTTGTTTAAATATTAATTATCCACTCAATACATCTTGGCCCTTCTCACACTAGATCAGGGTTTCTCAACCATGGCACTACTGACATTTGGGGATTTGTAATTCTTTGTTTTGAGGGATTGTTCTATGCATTTTGGGATGTTCAGCAGCATCCCTGGCTTCTATCCACTAGGTACCAGTAGTATTTCTCAGGTATAACAATCAAAAATGTCTCTAGACATTGCCAAATATCCCCTGAAAGGCCAAATAGACCTTGCTTGAGAACCACTACAACTAGACTAAAATATTATTTTTTTAAATCTCAACAAAGATTTGGGAACTATCTAAAGCTGTAAAGTAGCTTCCAAGGTTGCTGTCCAGGTATCATAGAAACTGAACCAATTTAGAAAAAAACTTCCAGAGTGTAGCATAATTATTTCTGTATATCAGGTACTAGATCATCATTATCTGAACTAATGAATTATGAATAATAATTCTATTTGTGCTAGACATTTTTGTTAGATGGGCTACTTCCTACTCATTTTAAAGATTAAATGAAACACAAAGAGAGATTTAATAGGAAGATGAAATAGAAGATAGAGTCAGAAAGGAAGCCAATGTGATAGAAATTTTAAGCAATCTGATTCATTTTTATTACTGACATTTCAAAAGATGCAAGATACATTTACTGCTTGTCTTCTATGCATCTAGGCACTATTACATACATGTTATTACCTAGTTAATTCGTGAAGTCTTAAGAAAATGGAAACAATTAGGAAAATAGAAAATGGATATATTTTCTTAGTATTTTTGTAAAATTGTTTAGTTGTTAAATGTTATACAGAGAGAACATTAAAAGGCTTTACTCTTACAGGTCAATCGTCATATTCTTTAGAGTAGTATGATTCACAAGAAAAGATACTATAGTTTATTGTCCTCCTTTCCCTCTCATTCTAAATTCTTATGACGTTTCTCTCAAAATGTAGAGTTGAAAGACTACTTTCATGATATCCCCTTCCTCTGATAATCTTATAGAATTGGAACAATGACCTTATGAACTATTTTCATTCATCAACTATTTGGCCAAGTAAACATTGTTCATGATTTTTAAAAGGCTGATACCAAAGAAAAATTCTAATTTGACTTGAATTTTGAACAGATATAAAGGCTCTTACCTACAAGCAACATTTGGATCAGCATTTCTTGAAAGTAGTAGTTCTACACACTTCAAGATCTGTTCCTCTGAGCCATGAGCAGAACATGCAGTTATCAAAATACTTTGCTTATCTATAGTGAATAGAAAAGTGAGGAAAAATCCCCATACATCAAGAGCATCTATTCGATGTCTTTACCACTCAAAACATTCTATTATTGCACTCTAAAACTCTATAACCTCTTCCCAAATCTCTCACTCTTAGCAGGTAACTTTGTCTTCCTTCATCGAAAGATGAGATTAGACATGAATCCCTTCAGTCTCCAAAGTTTATCTATAATTCATTTAACTTCCTTCCCCTCTTACTCCCATTACTTCAAGAGAACAGAAAGTGGTTAAGGACATGGACACAGCCACATTGTCTGGATTTGAACAGTTTTTGGTTGATTAAAATTTGCCTTGCTAAACTCATGTTTGGGAAACAATGATCTATATTCTCTGATTTCACTTCTTATCCATTTGAAAACTCCTGAAATCTGGCTTATAAACTACCCTACTGAAATTGCTATGACTGCCACATCCATTGGTTTGGTTTCTTTTCAGTCCTTTTGTACTTCATCTTTCTGAACTCACTGTTTCCTAAAACTCTTCTTCCCTTGGCTCTCATGGTGCCAGCAAAGATCAGAGTAAATTAAACACAAAAAACACCTATTTTGAATTAAGACTTCAAAATAGGTCACAACAGCTATGATTCACATTAGTGGCTCAATACTGACAGAGCATATTCTAGTCCCAGTCCTGCCACTAAGAAACTGTAACTCTTGTGATATCTTAATAGCTCATTAGATTTAACATACAGATAAGAACCTAGTATCTGCCCTTTGTATGTAACAGGGTTATTGTGGGACACATAAAAAACTCATGTGTACATTCTGTGAAAAATATATTTTATAGCTCTAACTATCCCTCTGATTACAAGGAGGGGGAAGTATAAAAAGAATAATTATTAATTAATTTTTTGAGCAGAATATTTTATACACTTTTGAAAACCTCATTCCTAAGCATAGCTTTCATTGAGTAATTTTTTTTTGAGACAGTGTCTCACTCTGTTGTCCAGGCTGGAGTGCAGTAGCATGATCATAACTCACTGCAACCTCGAACTCCTGGGTTCAAGCAGTCCTCCTGCCTCAGCCTTCTGAGTAGTTGAGACTATAAGTGTGTGCCACCACCCCTGGCTAATATTTTTTTATTGTTAGTAGAGACAAAGTCTCACTATGTTGTCCAGGCTGATCTTGAACTCCTGGGCTCAAGTGATCCTCCTGCCTTAGACTCCCAAAGTGCTATTGCTAGGATTATAAGCATGAGCCACCATGCCTGGCCAAGTGATATTTTTAAATGATATAATAAAAAGAAAAACCTAATAGAAAATATTAAACATGAAACTGTTGCTAAGACAGAAATTTATGTAAAATATATAAATGAGAAAAAAGAATAAAATTGTAGGTATAAAATGTAAAAATCAATTCTAAAATGAAACCTATACCTGAAATTATGAAGAAAATTTAATTGTCTATTGAAAATATGTTAAAAATAAGTAATCAGGAATTCAATGTAATAATTAAACTGGATTTGCTCATATACTCTTGTTCTTCTTACACTCAAAGCACTTCTGAATGGAAATTATTTAGTAACAAGGACAAAGATGGATTTCATGAACTATCTTTGAAACAACTTTAAGTGATGTAATTTGGAGTTTAGTTTAAAATTCCACAGACTGATTTTCCAGTAATTTGCCACTAAATTATAAACTTTTTAATGTTTCTTTCAAGAATTTTTCCTTTAAAAACAACCAAAACCTTAAAGATATATAATAACAACCAGTTATAAAGATACTATAACTGGAATTTATGTTTTTGGAAAGAGAGTTTTTCAGAATATGTATGGTTTCTAATTTGATTTTGTATATTATTTACATAGTATAATGAATAGAAAGGTTACTTCAAATGGCTTTAGTTTTTTGCACTTTATATAATAGCTACTTGGAAACCAAGGAATCACAGTAAGCATAATCATTTAAGTTATCTAAAACATCTTACCCTTCTCAAAGCTTGCATTAGCACCTCTGTCCAAAAGGACCCGAACCAGCTCTGCATTGGCAACACTAGCAGCATACATAAGGGGAGTCCATCCATACTGAAAGTTGGAATCTACACTAATGCCTGTCAATATAAAAACAAGCTTTTAAAAGCACACTACCACCAAAGAAAAAAATCAGTCACCTTATATGCTTAAAGTACTGTGTAAAGTGACGTACATCATGTACTTTATTCCACCATGGGAAGTTTTTAATGGCTTCCAAAAAATACAAAATAGTTATATTGGGACATTAACACAATTTGCTAACTTCAGTTTCACTACAGGCACTATGTTCCGAGACTGATATGACTGATGTTTTATCATATATGTAACTGAGTATGTATATTATAACAGGTTTTTACATGCTACCTTTTTTTTCTCTAGGGGAGCTGGAAAGGTTTCACAGAGGTAAAATGTCTTTTAAATTAGAATATTATCCCTGGGCAATATCAGTTATCTCTATGGTTGAAAATACCACATATATCCCTCAAAAACCTTTAACTTTATTCCTAACACTAAACTTACCCATGGGTGACTGATAAAACATGAAGCTAAAAAGACAGGTTAAGGTTAGATTATGAAAACTCCCTTAAGAAACGCAGACTCTGTTTTGTGATCCAGGAACTGACATCATTACATATGTATTATAAAGACAACATAGACACCACTATTGAGAATGGGACAGGAGGCAAGGAAACTAGTTATAACACAGGAAGTTTATACGACAATCAGAGCAAGGGCAGTGGAGAGAGAAAGGAAGGAAAACAAAAGGACATTTCAAAGGCAGGGTCATCAGAATTTAAAATTACTTTGAGGAGGAGGTATGATGGA
Source organism: Homo sapiens (assembly GCF_000001405.40). Taxonomy (NCBI): domain Eukaryota; kingdom Metazoa; phylum Chordata; class Mammalia; order Primates; family Hominidae; genus Homo; species Homo sapiens. The sequence goes on from NC_000007.14 coordinate 117,423,108, forward strand.
CAACAACAAATTAAAAATGACTATCAAATTCTGTCTTGGACAATCGAATGACAAGCAGTGAGCTAAAATAAAGGGAGATATCAGGTATTGAAAGTAAGTTTTTTTTGTTTGTTTGTATTTTGTTGTTTTTTTTTAGGATCTCACTCTGTCACTTTTTTGGCTGTATAAACACCGGGTCACTGAAAGACTACATATGTCTAATTTCTAACTGTCTAATTTTAATTGATATAAGGTACATAATAATCACTGGGAGAAAACATTAAACCATCTTAGTATAGACATCTACTGCTAGCCCTACTTGTCTTCTCTAACAAATCTTCCTCTTTGAACTGCTTTGATTGAAAGCTTATCAATGAGATCAGAGAAAAGATCATTGTTTTCTCAATTTATTGAGAATACTGCTCAAACTGTGATAGCAAAGATAGAAAGGAAAAGATGCAAAGAAAAAGAAGCAAAGGCCAGGCACGGTGGCTCATGCCTGTAATCCCAGCACTTTGGGATGCCGAAGTGGGTGGATCACGAGGTCAGGTGATTGAGACCATCTTGGCTAGCACAGTGAAACCCTGTTTCTACTAAAAATACAAAAAAAAAAAAAAAAAAAAAAATTAGCCAGGCGTGGTGGTGGGTGCCTGTAGTCTCAGCTACTTGGGAGGCCAAGGCAGGAGAATTGCGTGAACACACGAGGCAGAGCTTGCAGTGAGCCAAGATCATGCCACTGCACTCCAGCCTGGGCGACAGAGTGAGACTCCATCTCAAAAAAAAAAAAAAGCAAATGTGGCATTTTAGTATAAAAATTCTTACTAAAATTCTAACTTAATATTTAACCTCTAATATTTAACATAAATTACTAAGCACATATTATGTTCCAGGCATAGTGCAAAAAAAGGTAAGTTTCAAAAGGATGAACACAGTATATTTATAGAGCTCAAAAACATTCAAAATAATACTATATTGTTTAGGGACATAGTAAAAGTATAAAGATACTCATAAGAATGATAAACATCAACTATAGAAAAGTAGTTATCTCCAGAGGGGGTACCGTACTTTTCTGAATGTCTAAAATATGTCATACTTTAAAGAAAATTGAAAATGATAGTACACAGAATAACAAAAACTGGAGACATCTTCAAATGGTTAAAAGTGGCTGACTCAAAATGTGCTTTTATTTTTAGAGTTTCCAATTGGTGCAGAAGCATGTTTCAAGAACAATAATGACTTTGAAAGGCAAAAAATTAACAATATTTTTAAAAAGAGTTACATAATGACATCTGGAAGGAAATACCCTAAAACAGGAGTTAACCTGTGAAAGTGAGGCATCAGCAGTAAGGGGAATGACAGTGAGGACAATGGTAAAGAAATCTTTCTCCTTCTACCTATATCTCTATTACTGCCTTTTAAAAATGAACTTTAAAAATTTTTGTAACTAAAAACAAATTTCAAATGGTTGACTAAATACTTAGCAGTAGGCTCTGTTCAAGAGACTGAAAAGCTCACATCTGCCCATCAATCATATCAAGTCTTAATCCTTCAAAAGCCTCTATCACATTCACTGTACCTAGTCCCACTACTCCTAAGGCAAATTTTCTTTTCTAAAACAAATCTCTGCCTATTCCACCCCATGCTATGTACACTATACATATATTAATATTAGGTATTCGGGCCTCTTTCTACTTATTCAGAGTTTATTCAATTTCGTTTTTCAATTCCAAACTCAAGTTCCATTGTCCAAAAAGTCATACAGATCCTTCTCATTTCTTATAAGAATAACAGGTAATGTTTACATAATTCCTATGTGTTCTAAGTCCTTTAAAAGCGTATTTTAATTCTCCCCCTTGCCAACAACCCTTTGATATAATAATCCTCATTTTAAAACGGGCAGAAATTGAAGCTTAGGAAGATTTGGTAACTTAGTCAAGGTTACAAAGCCATCAAGTGGCATGGTTAGTAATCAAACCCAGATCTGTCTTGTTTTCAAAATTATTTACTTTTCAGTAAACTATGCATTGATTCTAGCATAGAAGAAAAACATTATGCTATATATAATCACATCTAACTACCTTGTGTGTGAATGTTTTGTATCTACAATGGCAAAAACCACAATTATTTTTGCATCAAACTGAAGTAAATGCTTGTTATTCCTTTGAGTAATTTCTTTTTTTTTTTTTTTTTTTTTTTTGAGACGGAGTCTCGCTTTGTCGCCCAGGCTGGAGTGCAGTGGCGCGATCTCGGCTCACTGCAAGCTCCGCCTCCCGGGTTCACGCCATTCTCCTGCCTCAGCCTCCCGCGTAGCTGGGACTACAGGCGCCCGCCACCACGCCCAGCTAATTTTTTTTGTGTTTTTTAGTAGAGACGGGGTTTCACTGTGTTAGCCAGGATGGTCTCGATCTCCTGACCTCGTGATCCGCCCGCCTTGGACTCCCAAAGTGCTGGGATTACAGGCGTGAGCCACCGCGCCCGGCCAGTAATTTCAATCATTATAATCAATAATTTACATTTCTATGTGAAGGTAATTTAAAGTTTTTTTTTTATTTAATACACAAAAAATTCATGAAGCCCAGGACAGAATTATGATGCTTTACATAAAGAAACTGATGCTCTCTGGCTGGGGGCGGTGGCTCTTGCTTGTAATCTCAGCACTTTGGGAGGCCGAGGTGGGTGATTACTTGAGGTCAGTAGTTCAAGACCAGCCTGGCCGACATGGTGAAACCCCCGTGTCTACTAAAATTACCAAAATTAGCTGGGCTTGGTGACCGGTGCTTTTAGTCCCGGCTACTCCGGAGGCTGAGGTGGGAGAATCACTTGAATCCCGGCCCCCAGATGGAGGTTGCAGTGAGCGAAGATGGTGCCACTGCACTCCAGCAGGGCTAGAGAGAGACACTCCATCCCCTTCCTTCAACCCCCCAAAAATGAAATCTGATGCTCTCAAAGTTTTAATGCCTCTTCCAAGAAACCAGAGTGGGCAATAAACTGGAAGAAATTATCCATATATTTATTCTGATTCCTAGCTCAGGCCTCATTCCACCAGTACAAAACAAAAAACTGTAACGAGAAAGAACTAAAATGTAGAACCATTTCTTAAGAAACATACAACAGGCAGGGCACGGTGGCTCATGCCTGTAATCCCAGCACTTTGGGAGGCCGAGACAGGCGGATCACAAGGTCAGAGGATCGAGACTATCCTGGCTAACACGGTGAAACCCTCTCTCTATTAAAAATACAAAAAAAAAAAAAAATTAGCCGGGCGTGGTGTCACGCGCTTGTAGTCCCAGCTACTCAGGAGGGTGAGGCAGGAGAATCGCTTGAACCCGAAGGTGGAGATTGCAGTGAGCCAAGATCGCGCCACTGCACTCCAGCCTGGGCCACAGAGCAAGATAACATCTCAAAAAAAAAAAAAAAAAAAAAAGAAAAAGAAAAGAAAAAAGAAACAACATTACAGCAGAGTAAATGAAGAGAGAATTAAGAATGATCAGAGTGGGATAGGATTAGAGTAGGCCTCTTGCTTGAAGGAGGGGGAAGAACTGATGGAAGATAAACAGGGTGGCATTCCAAATGCAAGCAGAGAGGAAGAAAATAAGGCAGACTGGACTCAGTCAACGAAGATTATGCAGGATGATACATTAACATTTGTTGCGTTTCCATTAGAAAAGCAACATAAACCTTTTAAAAATAAAGAATCCTTGCGAACTTAAGACAGCTGTGTTCAGATGAAACTGTCCCTTATCTCTCACCAGAATCTAGGAGCTCCTGGACCAATGAAACATCTCCGATGGTCATTGCTTTCTTAAATTTTTCTTTCTTTTCTTCAATGGGTAATAGCCTTTTCAATTTCTAGAAAAGTAAACATTTTAAAAAATTCTTGTTATATATATTTTTGTTTCCACCTCATCAGGAAACAATAATGTTTGGTTAAGTACACAGGTTTTTTTTCTTGGCTTTATTTTGACTAAGATACAAAGTTTGAAAAGAATTCGTGTCGAAAATTATCTTTCAAGGGAATAGGTAATGATGGATCCAAACCCAACTGAGGAGTTACGATGACCTAAAGAAGCGTATTTGGTGGTAACCACAGTTGGGGAGGGAACACGAGGAAATTTGTGCGGGTTTGCTTAAGTACAAACTCCCGTATTTCCACTGGGTAAAAGGGAAATACACGTGAGGGAGTAGGAGGTTTCACGAGGCTGGGCCTCGCCTTCGAGGGCCAGGGGAGGCTGAAACCAGGTGTGGTCAAGACAAGGCCTCCTCCGCTACCTGAGACGTCCGGTCGAGATACCCAATCTCCCAGCCATCATCCTCGCTCTCGCTACTCTCGCCTCCGCCAGCCACTGGCAGGCCTCGCAGCGCGCTCGCCGCCATGCCAGCCAAGGAAGCTCCCTGTCGGCACCGCGCGCCCTTCAGCTCTCCGGGCGCATGCGCACCGGGGTGGGGCGTACGTAGAGATGCGCGGGAAGGAGCGCCGTGGAAGCGCTCCAGTCTGGAGCCCTCCAGCGCAGGCGCACAGCGGCGCGCTGCTCTCCTCCCTGCCCCGTCCCTCCCTAACCTTGAGGCTTCTTGAGGTGAAAACCTGGCGTGTCTGACACTGGTGACGAAGTTCGTGCGCCAGGCTTCTGCTGGCACTTCCAGTTCCTCTCAGGGACTTACCTTTCGACCTCTTTAAAGTATTTGCTTGATGAAATGATGAAATTCTTGCTCTGCAAGGAATGCCTTACTTGTGGCAGGAGCACACTAGGATTTAACGGCAAGTAAGACTAGACTTTCCCCGCCATCCTTTTCATCTGCCCCCTGCCAAACGTCTGTTAAATCTGTATCCCCTGGGAGACGGACTCTTCGTAGTAACACCTCTCTCAGGAGCACCACTCAGACATTCAAGAAGCCCTTACGCAAGTAGGAGCCGACGAAGGAGCCAGGAGAAAATACTGCCCCAAAGAATTCTTCCTTTACATTTCATGTGATCTTAGATCTCACCTTAGATTTAGAAGCTTCAGACCATCAAAACACTTCCCCGCTATGAAGTGTAGATGTCCTAGAGGAAAATATGAAAGGAGGGGGTTTCCGGGTACAGTGGATCCAAAGAGCCAGAAAGAAAGAAATGACTTAAACGTCCAGAGAGCAAATAATACAAACAACTCCAGGTGGAAGTGGCCCAAGCTCGAACTCACCTTTCTACATGGTTCTAGATGGTAGAACTTCTAGATGTTGGTAACACAGTGATTTTCTTTGCCACCACAGAAAAGTAGATCCACCAAGAAACAGGGCATATTATATGTATCTCAAGATAATAGCCATGCACTATTATTTGAAAGCTTTTGCGGTTTTTTTCTTGCAGATTCTCTGATAAAAGATTTTGAAATTATTTACTTTAGAGGCTCAGAGGTAAGTATTTTTAAGTAGTTTAGCTATTTGCGTGCCACATCTGTCTTTCTAAATGCATTCATTCAATAAATGCTAGGGATTACTTAGCACAGCCAAGTGCTACTAGGTTTGGGGAGACAACGTCAAAGATAAACCATGGAGCCTTATGGAGCTCACTTTAATAAGTAGAGATAGACAATATGCAAGGAAACAAAAACACTATTGCAGATTGTAAGTGCTTCAAAAGAAACAAGTGTGCTCTGTTTCTGGAATCAAACCACTTTTGTGTTTCCTGGGGGAATCACTAGCTGTAGCTGTGTGCCCTTAGGCAATTTACTTAGCATCTATCTGGGTACCAGCTAACTTATCTGTAGAATGGAGGTGATGATAGTACCCACCAAATAGAATTGTTATGAGGACTAAATGAAGTAATAGGCTTAGAATAAGGTCTTTCTCAATGTAAGAGGTAGATTTTAGATAGGATAGTCAGAACTGTGCAGAGTCGTAAATAACAAGCCATATAAGAGTGGGAGAATAGAGCTTTCCTGGCAGTGGACAGGAATAGTGCCAAGGTCCTAAGGCAAGAAAAAAGCAACTCAGGACCAGGATGGGGCAAGTGAGGCTGGGGCAAGTGAGTCCCCTAAGAAGCAAAGTTTAAGGAAGTACTGTCAGGGTCCTGCAAATTCAGTGAGTGCCTTTTTAAATTTTGCTCCTGGGTCACCTCACTTACCTTAGTTCTTGTCCTGCTTGGACCAGAAAGAAGGCCTGAGGCTACAGCTTCGTAAGGATAGGCGTGTGTGATGAGAGGTCCTTGTGGGCCTTAAGTAGGAATCTGGATTTTACTGAAAGCAATTGAACAGTGAAATGTTTTTAAGCTAATGAAAGACATGTTCTGATGTGTGTATGTATTTAAAGACACTCTAGGTCTATTGTAGAGAAGGTTTTTGGTTTGAGCAACTGGCTAAGTAGTCATTGCATTTACTGAGATGGGGGAAGACCAGTGGATAAACGTGAAGATTTAATAGGCATCCCCAAATTAACATATTCAAAACCAAGCAGCCAAGTGTAGCTGTTAAGTGGTTAGTTGGATATTCATGTGTGGACCTTGAGGAAGCCTGGTCTTGGAAATATAAATGTGGGAGTTATCCACATACAATTGGTTTTTAAAAACCTTAGGATTTACCAAGTGATTTTTTTTATAAATATGGATAAGATTATTCCAAATTGTATGTGGAAAGGCAAAGGAAGTAAAATAGTTAAAACAATTCTGAAAAAGAAGAATAAAGAAGGAAGAATTGCTCTCCTTGATTTCAAGACTCATGTGTAGCCTTGATTTCAGGATTTTTTGATATAGACCAATAGAACAGAATAGAAAACCTAGACATAGCACCACACAAGTACATATAGTATGACAAACTAATTTTTGATAAAGGTGCAAGAGCAATTCAATGGAGGAAGGATAGTCTTTTCAACAAATAGTTGTGAAGCAGGTGAATATCTTTAGGTAAAAAATGAACTTCAACCTAAGTCTCATGCCTTTTACAAAATTAATTCCAAATACATAATAAATGTACTTGTACATGAATGTCCATAGTAGCATTATTCATATTAGCCAAAAGTAGAAACAACCCAAATATCCATCAACTGATGATTGGATAAACAAGATTGGTAAGTCTGTACTATCTGAATTAGTTTCCTAGGACTACCAAAACAAATTACCACAAACTGGGAGGCTTATAACAACAAATTTTTTCTCTCACAGTTCTGGAGGCTAGAAGTCTAACATCGAGTTAGACCATGCTTCCTCTGAAGGCTCTAGGGGAAGATCTTTCCTTGCCTCTTCCCAGCTTCTGGTAGTTGCTGGTGGTAGAATGTACCAGTCATATTGGATTTAGGGTCCGTGGTAATCCAGTATGACTTCTTCTTAATGTGATTACATATGCCATGACCTTATTTCTAAATAAGGTCACATTTACAGGTTCAGGTGGACATGAAATTTTGGGGGACACCATTCAACTCAGTACACTGTATATGTATCACTTAGCATGATGTTTTCAACACCCAATTGTAGCATGTATTTGTACTTCATTCCTTTTTGTGCTAAGTAATGTGTGATATTGATATCAGAGGGTGATTTCAGGAGGTAGCATGACCCATTAGGAGGTTACTGTAATTGTGAACTAGAGCAGTGGCAGGGAAAATGGACAGGAGGAGATATTTTCAAAATTTATTGTGAATTATAATCAATAAATTTCCCTCTTAACACTGCTTTAGGTGCATCCCAGAGATTCTGGTACATTGTCTCTTTGTTCTCATTAGTTTCAAAGAACTTCTTGATTTCTGTCTTAATTTCATTTTTTATCCAAAGTCATTCAGGAGCAGGTTGTTCAATTTCTATGTAGTTGTGTTGTGTTGAGTGAATCTTTTAATCTTGAGTTCTAATTTGATTGTGCTGTGGTCTGAGAGACTGTTATGATTTCAGTTCTTTCACATTTTCTGAGGAGTGTTTTACTTCTGATTATGTGATCAATTTTAGAGTAAGTGCCATGTGGTGATGAGAAGAATGTATCTTCTGTTGTATTTGGGTGGAGAGTTCTGTAGATATTTATCAGATTCACTTGATCCAGAGCTGAGTTCAGGCCCTGAATATCTTTGTTAATTTTCTTTCTTGATGATTTAATATTGTCAGTGGGGTGTTAAAATCTCCCATTATTATTGTGTGTGAGTTTAAGTCTTTTTGAAGGCCTCTAAGAATTTACTTTATGAATCTGATTGTTCCTGTATTGGGTACATATGTATTTAGGATAGTTAACCTTCTTGTTGAATTGAACACTAAGATTATGTGATGCCCTTTTTTTGTTTTTTTTTTTTTGATCTTTGTTGGTTTAAAGTCTATTTTGTCAGAAACCAGAATTGCAAACCCTGCTTTTCTCTGTTTTCCATTTGCTTGGTAAATTTTCCTCCATCACTTTATTTTGAGCCTGTGTGTGTCTTTGCATGTGAGATGCCTCTCTTGAAGACAGTATACTGATGGGTCTTGGTTCTTTATCCAACTGGCCATTCTGTGTCTTTTAATTGGGGTATTTAGCCCATTTACATTTAAAGTTAGTATTGTTATGTGTAGATTTGATCGTGTCATCATGATCCCAGCTGGTTATTTTGCAGACTTGTTTTTGTGGTTGCTTCATAGTATCACTGGTCTGTGCACTTCAGTGTGTTTTTGTAGTGATTGGTAATGGTTTTGCCTTTCCTTATTTAGTGCTTTCTTCAGGAGCTCTTGCGAGGCAAGTGTGGTGGTAACAAATATCCTCAGCAATTGCTTGTCTGAAAAGGATCTTATTGCTTCTTCACTTATGAAGCTTAGTTTGGCCAGTTACGAAATTCTGGCTTGGAAATTCTTTTCTGTAAGAATGTTGAATATTGGCCCCCAATCTCTTCTGGCTTGCAGGGTTTTTTTCTGAGAGATCTGCTAATAGTCTGATGGGCTTCCCTTTGTTGGTGACCTGGCCTTTCTCTCTGGCTGCCCTTAATATTTTTTTCTTTCATTTTGACCTTGGAGAATCTGATGATTATGTGTCTTGGGGATGATCTGCTCGTGGAGTATCTTACTGGGGTTCTCTGCATTTACTGAATTTGAATGTTGGCCTGTCTTGCTAGGTTGGGGAGGTTCTCCCGCATGACATTCTGAAGTATGATTTCCAACTTGGTTCCATTCTCACCATGTCTTTGAGGTACCCCAATCAGTCATAGATTCTGTCGCTTTACATAATCCCATATTTCGCAGAGGTTTTGTTCATTCCTTTTCATTCTTTTTTCTCTATTCCTGTCTGCCTGTCTTATCTCAGAATGATAGTCTTCAAGCTCTGAGATTCTTTCCTCCACTCGGTCTAGTCTGCTGTTAATACTTATGATTCCATTGTGAAGTTCTTGTAGTATGTTTTTCAGCTCTAAGAGATTGATTATGTTCCTGTGTAAACTGGCTATTTTGGCTGTCAGCTCCTGTTTTGTTTTATCACGATTCATAGCTTCTTTGCATTAGGTTAAACATGTTCCTTTAGCTCAGCAAAGTTCATTATTACCTACCTTCTGAAGTTTACTTCTGCCATTTCAGCCATCTCAGCCTCAGCCTAGTTCTGAGCCCTTGCTGGAGAGCACACCCACAACCATCTAATCTTTGACAATCCTGAGAAAAACAAGCAATGGGGAAAGGATTCCCTATTTAGTAAATGGTGCTGGGAGAACTGGCTAGCCATATACAGAAAATCGAAACTGGACCCTTTGCTTACACCACATACAAAAATCAACTGAAGATGGATTAATGACTTAAATGTAAAACCTAAAATTATAAAAACCCTAGAAGAAAATCTAGGCAATACCATTCAGGACATAGGCATGGGCAAATATTTCATGATGAAGACACCAAAAGCAATTGCAACAATCAAAAACTTACAAATGGGATCTGATTAAACTAAAGAGCTTCTGCACAGCAAGAGAAACTGTCTTCAGAGTGAACAGACAGCCTACAAAACGGGAGACAATTTTTGCAATCTATCCATCTGACCAAAGTCTAATATTCAGCATCTACGAGGAATTTAAATTTACAAGAAAAAAAAACCCATTAAAAAGTGGGCTAAAGGACATAAACAGACACTTCTGAAAAGAAGACATACATGTGACCAATAAACAGATGGAAAAAAGCTCATCACTGACCATTAGAGAAATGCAAATCAAAACTACAATGAGATATCATCTCAGCCAGTCAGAATGGCAGTTATTAAAAAGTCAAAAACAACAGATGCTGGTGAGGTTGTGGGGAAAAATAAATGCTTTTACACTATTGGTGGGAGTGTAAATTAGTTTGACCATTGTGGAAGACACTGTGGTGATTCCTCAAATATCTAGAGGCAGAAATACGATTTGACCCAGCAATCCCATTACTGGGTATACACCCAAAGGAGCATAAATCATTCTGTTATAAAGATGTGGGCACGTGTATGTTCATTGCAGCAGTGTTCACAATAGCAAAGACATGGAATCAACCTAAATGCCCATCAATGATAGACTGGATAAAGAAAATGTGGTACATATATACCATGGAATGTTATGCAGCCATAAAAAGGAATGAGATCATGTCCTTTTCAGGGACATGGATGGAGCTGGAAGCCATTATCCTCAGCAAACTAATGCAAAAACAGGAAACCAAATACTGCATGTTGTTACTTATAAGTGGGAGCTGAATGATGAGAACACATGGACACAAGGTGGGGAACAACATACACTGGGGCCTGTCAGAGGGTGGGGGTTGGAAGGAGGGAAAGCATCAGGAAGACTAGCTGATGGATGCTGAGCTTGATACCTAGGTGATGAGATAATCTGTGTAGCAAACCACTATGGCACATGTTTACCTCTGTAACCTGCACATCTTGCACATGTAGCCCTGAACTTAAAATAAAAGTTGGAAATGAAAAAAAAACACTTCTAGGCACCAAGCAAAGGATTCAACATTCAGCAAGCCTCGAGGAACAAGCCTGGACTGGCATGCATTATTGAACTCAAAAATATATTTTGTCTCTCTTTGGCTTTTTACATGCCTTGCCCTCTTGCTGAATACTTATTTTCTCTGTTTCCAAATCCAAATAGTGGATAATACTAAGCAATTAACTACTCTCAAGTTTATATATTGTGTGTTCAAAAGACCAGCCAACATTTCTCATTTACATGTTACAGTGACATAATCCAACCCCGAGGGTACACTTACTCTTGAATGAACTGAATAAATTAAAATTTTAAGCTGAAAAAAAATAGGATTTGGTGATTAGATATAAAGGATGAGCGGGAGAGAGGAGTCAAAGCTGGTAAGACAAGAACAAGAAGGAGGAAAAGTTTTTGAGGAAACAGGTAAGTTTTGTTCTGCAGAGACACATCTAAAAAGCTAAGGAACATCCATGTCCAGTTAAGGTCCAAAGTTCCCCAGAGAGGCCTGGGCTATCCAGCTTTAGAAGTCATCTTCCTAAGAAGTAATAATGGACATATTAAAGTAATAATGTTATCAAAGGAGAAGGGATAGGATGAGATGAGAGGGCCAAGAATATATTCTTAGGGATTGACTATTTCTTTAGGAAGCCACCAAAGGAAAGGGATCACTTCAGGGGCCTAAGAAATAGTAACCAAAGAAGCAGGAGACATGGAAGAGATCAATGCTTCAAAAATCTTTCACTGAATTATAATCTAAGATCATGACAATCACAGCAATAATGATAATAAATTCATTGTATGGGCTTTTCTTAAGTCACTTAATACACAATCCTATTGAGGTATATGCTATCTCAATTTTACAGAAGGAATTAGAGGCACAGAAAGGTAATGTTATCTGCCCAATGTTATCTATCCAGGAGGGCAGGAAACAGCTGGCTCTGCAGTCCATGCTTTTAGTAATTTTTGTTTGTTTTTTGACAGGGTCTTACTCTGCTGCCCAGGCTGGAATGCAGTGGCATGAACACTGTTCACTGCAGCCTCGACCTCCTGAGCTCAAGCAATCCTCCCACCTCAGCCTCCTGAGTAGCTGGGACTACAGGTGCATGCCACTATGCAGGCTAATTTTAAAATTTGTTGAGATGGATTCTCGTTGCATTGCCCAGGCTGATCTCAAACTTCTGGTCTAAAATGAACCTCCTGCCTCAGCCTCCCGAAGTGGTGAGATTATAGGCATAAGCCACTGCACCAGGCTAGTGATTGCTAACACTTAAATAGCACTTCCAAGTGCCTTGACACTTTTCTAAACACTTTGTATTCACTAATTCGTGTAATTCTCACTATAGTTTTTTAAGGTAAATACTATCGTTATCTCCATTTTATAGATGAGGAAACTGAGGAACAGGAAGATCATATAAACTGCCCAAGGTCATAGATGTGGAACATTCTGAACTAACACCAGACTATTGGGCCCTATGGTGGTGCTCAGATGTTACTTGGAAAGTATAATGCTCACAGAAGCACTCTCTCTCTCTAGGGGAATACTTGTTTCCATCATTTGTTTTACTCTCTGTAGAGGGAAACATTCCTTTCCAAAGGAGATTTCATCTTCTGACTAGTAAATCAGACTCAGAATGAGCTATGATTCATTTACAGGTAAGTCACAAGCTTTATTCCTGGCCAGATAAGAAATCAGTAATTTGGTTTTGTCTGAAGAGATTTGGGAATTCCCCCAAGATGATTTCCTGGAGTGGGTCAGAATGCCACCTACACACTAGGTTAATGACTTCAGTGTTCTGCTTGGTTCGCTGATGACAGGAAACTGGTAAAACAAAGAGGGTGAGAAACCAGCTGTATCACAGTAATAAATATTACTCAGATTTAGGCTCTTCTTCCTAGTTCCTGAGTTTTTTTAACTTTCAAGCTTTCACTCAGACAATATGCAATGATTAGCTAATACAGTTTGTTTTAGTATTACAAATGATGATGGCAGATTTTGCGGGGAATTTGTTTTAAAGTTAATGTTATCATATTTTTACAATTCTTGTTTTCAATAGTTTGAAAAAGTTCTGTTGGGATCCTGAATTCTTAATTTTGACTGAGATCTAGTGAGATTAGTTGTCTCTTTTGGAGATAATTTTAGAGGCATAAAAATGGTAAATCAATTTTTTTTCAATTATTAGAAATCATGTGCACAAAATAGTCAAGGGGAAAGATTAGCAACTGCTTTTTTAATATAGCATTAATTGATTTCACAAATAGTTACTATGCTGCTACTGTATTTTTTAGGCATCAGAGATAGAGTTGTGAGGAAGACAAGGCAAGATCCTTGACCTCCAAATGTTTATAGTCTAGCAAGATAAATTAATAAATATATAATTAAGTAATAGGTAATGATAAATTCTATAAAGAAAAATTAACCAGGTGAAGGAGATAGAGAATAATGGAAGCAAATCAGAATTAAAATAGGAATTTCAGAGAAGGCCTCTTTGAGGTTTTATTGTTATTGTGATAGAAAGTTTCATGGCTCTGATTTTACCGTTTTAAAACGTAACTCTAGCTACAAGGAGAAAAGACTGTATTTATGGGAGCAAGTGTAGAATCAGGAACACCAGTTAAGAGTCTATTATAATAGTCTAGGTTCTCAACCTTGTCTGCTGCTTAGAATTCCCTGGAGATAATTTTAGCCAGCCCCAGTTGAAACCAGTTACTATATGTCAAAATCTTTGAGAGTAGAGTCCAGGAGTTGATATTTCTCAAGGTTCCTCTGGTGATTTTAATATATAGCCAAGGTTGGAAAAGGTTGTGGAAGAAAGATATCAGACAACAAGTCTAGGGCAGTTTTCTAAATCTAGTAGGAACACGGAAGCTGTTAAAACAGGACTGGCTTCTTTTCTGGATTTATTTTCTTCTTTAAGGAATATGGTTAGGTCAGAGAACAAAGCAAATTCTTAAAGAGGAAAACATTTATCAGGAAATGATGAAGATGGATTTTGGCTAAGAAGCATTAACTAATATACTACTAGGAAGCAGTGGTAAATGAAAATGTTTGTCATGTTTGTTTCTTCAAATATTCTAGTATGGAGTCCATGGATGAAAATGTTTGTGAAAGGATGATGTAGGAGACTGGGTCTCTAGCAGTTATCTATGGAGGTGGCTAGATGTCAGATTCAGGATTTATACATTTTGTAGAGATAGCAATTAAGATTCACTGATGGATTGGAAGTGGGATGATAGGGAAAGGGGGGTCAGGGATGACATCCAAATTTTAGGCCTGAGCAATTGGGTGAATTGTTGCATTTATTTCGTTGGGGGAAAGTGGGTGGAAAAGTAGGGAATATCTGTGTGGGGGAGGAGGTCGAATATTGAAATTAAGAATATCAGTTTGGACTTCATAATGTAAAGAGTGCTAATTAAACTCTAAAATGAATGTAAGTAGAGAGTGAGATATAGATTCACAATTTGAATGATTTGTTTCCTGGAATAATTTTCTTTGATTTTATGTCTGTTTATTGTTTGAATAACTAGGGAACTTATTTACTTTTATCTCATTTATTTTTTATCTTCCTAGATTTTTAATGTATACCCTACTACATTGCATATAGGCATGGTAGAAGAGTGTTTTAAGACTATGCTAACCTTTACTCCAATAAAACATTATAATTTTGTAAACTGTAGTCCTAATAGACTGCTGGGGAAGAGCAATAACACATAAATGCATGAACATTTTAGTGTTAAAAACATTGCAAAATTATAAGTTTTAAAAAATGGATTAAAAGATAACTAATGAAATTTTAGAACATCACTTCCAAAACTTTCTTCACTATAGAACAGTTTAAAATTCTAATATATTGATGAAAACCAAAAAGAACTCAACAGATTTAATGGGCTCTTGAATTAAAGTAGATAGCAAAAAATGGACTTTTAGACAGATTAGTCACTACAAGAGAGAATCATTTATCATGTGTATAAAATACAATGAATTTTAAATAACATAGCTCTATGTTGAAATTATAAGAAAATACATAAATTAGACAAATATATATCACTTATTCAAATTCAATTGTAATCTCAAGTATAATATCAATTGTAATATCAAAATGTCATTAACTGGAAAATAATACTAATAGCTAAAGTGTATTGAGCATTTACAATGACTAAGAACAATTCCAAGCATTTTACAAAATATGTTAACTCAGTTAAGGAATACTCTTAGCTACAAGTGACAGTATTTAATATTGGTCACTTAAAAACCTATGGTTCATTGCTTTTCATGTTAAAAGGAGTCTGGAAACTGGCATTGGTTCAGTGACACAATGGTTTCTCATAGCATCTACATTGCTCTCTTGGCCTCATCCTCTTGGTTGCAAGATGTCACTCCCAGGTCCAGGAAGCATGTTTGTGTTAAAGACAAGAAAAAGGAAGGAAAGGATGGACCTGGGTACATCTGTCTCTTTTTATCAGGAAAGCCAAAGCTTTCCTAGAAGCTCCAACAGATTTCTGCTTAGGTCTCCTCTGCTGGCACTATTACTTAGCACCCCTAGTTGCAAGGGAGGCTGGGAAATCAGGTATGACATTTTTTTTCTGCCTTTATAGAGGAACAGGAGAAAGGAAAAG
The DNA here is from genome assembly GCF_000001405.40 of Homo sapiens. Classification (NCBI taxonomy): domain Eukaryota; kingdom Metazoa; phylum Chordata; class Mammalia; order Primates; family Hominidae; genus Homo; species Homo sapiens. Next base: position 117,438,546 of record NC_000007.14, read on the forward strand.
AAGGTTGAGAATGGGTTTTGAATTAGGCAGCCAACAGTGACTGCCACAAATTCATGTCTTTCTTATGAAAGCCCTATCAAAGTGGTACTTTTGTTTATTACCATTTTGCAAATGAGAAACTAAGAGTGAGAAGTTAAGAAATTTGACCATGGTCACACAACTAAATAATGTAGAACCAGAAATCGAGTCAGGTGGTCTGTCTGTCTCCAGAATCTGCTCTCTTCTCAGCCACTCTACTATAGTATAGAAATAAAGCCACAGACAGATTTAACACTGAGCCTTCTCATGTGAGTGATCTTCCATATAACTTCCTTACATTCTCATGAATGATACATTTATTATAATAGGCAATACATTACCTAATGATAAAACTAAATAAATGCGTGCTATTGCTCTTATTCTTTCTAATTATACCAATAATAATAAACCACATGGTTAATTTGAATTTGTAAAGTCACCCTTTCAAACAATTGTAAGTATTTTCATACATATTATATACTTCTGATTTCCTCGTAAATCCTTTGAGAAATAGAGAGAGGTAAATGTGATTATTTGCATTTGATAGTTGGGAATATGAGATCAAGCTTGTGTCAAAAAGCTCTGGGACTTAAACCTAGATTTACATAGAGCCAGGCCATTTGTACTTCATTAGATACCTGCCAGTATAGATGTCTTTACTTTAGGATAAATGTTAATTAAATTGCAGAAGAATTGAAACAAATGTTAACATTACAAATTTTCTCATCAAGGCAAAGATTTACAACTTTAAAACTCAACATTTAATGTTTCTTAATGTCTTAACAATGGTTTCTGAGATACCATATTTTATGAAAGCTAGTTCCCTTGGTTACTAGAAATTCTGACACATTTTTATAGCTCTATTTTATAAAATGCATTACCCTGAGTAATTATAAATTATATGCAGGAAGTAATGTACATTTTGTTGTTATTTTTTGAAATTAAAACTCACAGATATGATTCATGTCAAGTATTTTTCTGTTGAAATTAATCTATTATTGTGTTTCTTATAATAAAATTAATTCATTTTTTATTGTTTTTTCATATTATAATAGGCAACATTGATTTTTTAAAATTTGTTTTTGCTATACTTTATTTTTCTTGAATATTTATATTTATGCTTTTTGTTTCTATCCACGCTGTTTTTTTTTTCCTTTAATTTTTCAACTTTTATTTTAGCTCAGGGGTACGTGTGCAGGTTTGTTATATGGGTAAATTGCATGTCACTGGGGTTTGATATACAGATAATTTTGTCACCTAGGAATTGAGTGTAGTCATACCTGATAGGTAGTTTTCAACCCTCACCCTCCTCTCACCCTCCACCCTCAAGTAGGCTTGACTTTGCTTAATGGGAATATTTTACATCTCACACAAAGGAGGCACTGGTACTCAAAAATTTATGAAAATTACTAGAACTGTTAAGATTGAGGTGAAAAATTTGTACAGCTTTCCACAGTTTTAAAGAGATAGTAATAGATACTTTTCCTCTTGGTGATATCAAATGTTGTTTCTTCCAAGTTGTTTTTCACACCTGGTTTGATGTAAGGGTTCATCAGGAGGAGTTCTAGGGTATCTTTGCTATCTTTGTTCCCAGAAGCAAGATGCAATGGAGTTCAGAGGCCTTTTGTTTGGGCATGCATAGCTGTATCATGTGGGAGGAAGAAAGAAGCCACTCTGGTGTTATTACACTTACAGGTGTTGTACAGGGGTATCCAGCTATCCACAGTCACTGCATGAACATCTGCCCCTTGTGCGGTTACCTCATGGATGATATCTAAGTGTCCATTGTAGACTGCTCGATGAAGAAGGGTATATTCATCTTTGTCCCTAGTGTTCACATGATTGGCTTTCTCAGAAAGTAGTCTTTGCACTATAGTAAGGCTAGAAACATGCCTTCAGTTCATGATTTTCAGTTTTTTCTACAGACGTCTGGTGGGTTATGGTGTGCTCCTATTAAAAAGTGGATTTATTTCAGTAGCCCAAATAAGCAATTTACTTAGATCTTTTCACACATTTTTTTCTTGCAATTCATAGCACTCTTTGTTTTTTTCATCTTGCTCCTCATCTTCATCAGAGTTGCCTATTCAGAGACTTTGAGTACCAGTGGGAATAAGGTATTCTTGTATTTCTAACAATTCAATTTGATTAAGGTATTCAAAAAAGTCCAAGGAATTCTCTTGGTCTGGTTTTCCATCATCATTCACTTTCTTTATCCATTTTTACTACTGTTCTAAATAAAAAGTACTTCAAATACCAGGGTATAAATAGTATAAGTAATCTTTCTAGAGATGTGTTATATCTACTTTATTTTATTCATCAAGATTTGATGATATTCCTGATATTCTGTCAGTAATAGGATGCCTTTCCCAACTTAAAGGGCATATTCCATTTTGGGAGAGATGTGAACTGTGTCAATTTATCACAAACAACTCAGTGACAGGTGGGGCTATAAACTCCATTTTACAGATGTATTAGTTCATTTTCGTGCAGCTGATAAAGACATACCTGAGACAGGGCAGAAAAAGAGGTTTAATGGACTTACAGTTCCACATGGCTGGGGAGGCCTCACATTCATGGTGGAAGGCAAGGAGGAGCAAGTCACATCTTACATGGATGGCAGCAGGCAAAGAGCTTATGCAGGGAAATTCCCTTTTTTAAAACCATCAGATCTTGTGAGACTTATTACTATCAGGAAAACAGCATGGGAAAAACCCACCCCCATGATTCAGTTATCTCCCACAGGGTCCCTTCCACAATATGTGGGAATTATGGGGGCTACAAGATGATATGTGGGTGGGGACACAGAGCTTAAACCATATCAACAGGTGAAGGCACAGAAGTTTGGATAGATTAAAACAACTTGCCCTAAATCAAGGACCCTTCAATGGAACTGAAAGGCCTGATATTCTAATTCAAAGGTTCCACATTATTTTTCTTTTTTTTTTTTTTTTTTTTTGAGACGGAGTCTCGCTCTGTCGCCCAGGCTGGAGTGCAGTGGCGGGATCTCGGCTCACTGCAAGCTCCGCCTCCCGGGTTCACGCCATTCTCCTGCCTCAGCCTCCCAAGTAGCTGGGACTACAGGCGCCCGCCACTACGCCCGGCTAATTTTTTGTATTTTTAGTAGAGACGGGGTTTCACCGTTTTAGCCGGGATGGTCTTGATCTCCTGACCTCGTGATCCACCCGCCTCGGCCTCCCAAAGTGCTGGGATTACAGGCGTGAGCCACCGCGCCCGGCCTCCACATTATTTTTCACTGCACTATATTTTACTGCTGTAAGCACAAAGCAGTAGAGATGTTCTGAACCCAAGGATCCAGGGGCAACAGTAAGGGGAAGTGGGTAATAAAAACCTGTAAACTACAGGGTCTGGTGAGCAGGAGCAAGGGAAAAGGGCATCCAGTTCCAACCTTGTGCCACTAGCTGGTCACTCATAGGCCTAGAAGTTCTGCCTGCAGCCTTCCTAACAGCCAATATTGGAGAAGCCACTTCCACCCATTCTGGGACCCATGATGGAGTCTGACCTGCAGGGCTTGGCCTGAGGTCACTTGCCTCTACAGACCCAGGAGTTGTTAGATGGCGAGGGTCTACCAGGAAGTGAGGCACCAATTTTAACATTTCTACAATGTTTTATAAATAAACAAAATGTGATGATTATTTGTCTTTAGTAGACTTGATTGTTTACTACCATGTCAAAATAGCTTTCATTTTTCAGTGTTTCAAGGTTGTAGAAAATGTCAGCTTAACTCTAGACAATAGATTTATGCAGTTATTGCTGCCATAGAATGCTCTTAAAACAGTTTTTATGAACCTGAAGAAAATGAAACCTCTGGCATATATCATTTTTATTTAGAATAGTTTATGTTTATTTACATGTACACAGTAATTTAAGCTAATTATAACCTGCATGTATTTGGTTTAAAACCATGTTTGGAATTGTCACGTGAAAATAAAACAGTAATATAGATAGGGTGTTTTTGACATCCAAGAAAAATTTTAGAAACATGTCTCTCATAATTTGTTATGTGGATAACAAACATCTTCAAAAAGGGGATAATTGAATGGTATTTATTATATTTTGGGAAAGAGAAGCAGCTATCTCCTTGCTCTGACTTGACTTTATGGCCAACCCTTTTCTTATGTTCTTGTAGCCAAGTTGAACAGACTTATGTGATTTATTAAACTGTAATGAGCTAAAGAATAGATTTTCTGAAGCTTCATAGGTTCTTGCTGAGTATTGTGAGCAAGGTAAACTGAAAGCAGCAACACGAAGAGGAAAGCATATTTAAGATGGAAATGGAATGATCATTAAGCACCTATAAAATGTGGGGCCTTTTCATGCTATTTTATTTAAGTCTGAAAATCACCCTGAGAATTACGTGTTAGGCTGATTTTGCAGCCTAACAGGTTCAGGAAGTTTGATTACCTTGCCAAGAATCACTATGTTTGGCTTGGATTTGCAACCAGGTCTCTTTTGTTCCACAATTGTTCAACAAATATTTCTTGACACCAAACTAGGCTTTGAGAAAGACAAAGAAGGAATATTGTGTTGTAAATGTCTTTACTATTCTTTAAACATCGTCTTTCAGAATATAGTCATTCCATAAAATTCTCTATTTTTTTAGATAACAAAGCTGAGTTGTTATGTGCTGGTCGAAGATACCTATAAGAAACATACAAGCCTTGTTAAGCTTAATTACATTTTAATGGGAATGGCCTTAAGAGTCGGATGGCAGGATCCACTCAGTAGCATGGGAATGCATACAACAGAAGAAGACTCTTGGGGCTGGATGCGGTGGCTCACGTCTGTAATCTCAGCCCACTGGGAGGCTGAGGCAGAAGGATCACTTTAGCTCTGGAGTTCGAGGTTACAGTAAGCTATGATTGTGCCACTGCACTCCAGCCTGAGTGACAGAGCTAGATCCTGTCTCTTAAAAAAAAAAGGCTCTTGGATCAGGGGAGGGTGTGAGGGTGGTGGTGGTCATGGTGGTGAAGGTGAGGTAGAAAGGGGTGAGGTGAAAAGGCGAAGAAGAAAAATATCCTAGTTGTAGGAAAATCCTAAGAATATCCCAAAGTTAAGCAGGAGTTAGCTGTAGGAGATGGGGGAGAGAGTGCTAAGTTTGTTCCAGGAAAGGCACAACAAAAGGTAATTGCAGGCAATAGATGACACTCAAGAAGTGAACAGTGGTGGCTTCTTCCAATCTGGCAGGTATGGAGAGCAGGAGCCAGGCTGCAAAAGGAGGGTCAGCAACAACCATGCAAAGCATTCCTCTACTTTTAATCCCCCTGTTTCACTCATTCCTCTTCTTGTTACCCTTGTGACCTCATTTCATACCACTCTCCACCTTGCTCACTCCTCTTTCTCTTTTCCTTAAACATGCTAGATTCTCTCCTATTTTAAGTCCTTTGGTGTAGCTGTTCCTTCTGTCTGAAATGCTCTCCCGGTGATCTTCACTAGACTAATTGGTTTACCTTCTCCATGTGTCTGCTTAACTCTTACCTTCTCAGTAAGGCCTATCATGCCTATCCTATTTAATACAGCAAAGTGCTCCTTTACCCGCGCCTTACCCTACTCTATATACTTTCAAAATTCATAGTGGTTACCACCTTCACTCTCCAGCACACCTTACCCTACTCTACATACTTTCAAAATTCATAGTGGTTACGACCTTCTAACATATTACAGTGTATTATTTGCTTATATATTATGTTTATTTTCTGCTAAGTATAAGCTCATGTAGCAGGCATTTGTGTTTTAGTCCCTGTTATATTTTAATACCCTGGAATAGTGCTCTAGGCAAGCTGGCCCAAGTTAATGCCAATCACAGATGTCACCCCTAGACCTGTACTTGTATCTTTAACCTAGTCTAATATACATCACATGAATAAAAATGACAAAGCCGTGGTCCTTAGGTACCTATTGCTATTCTCCTTTAGCACACCATCAACCCTCTTTACTGTTATAGGATCTTAGTCTTGTGTATTAACCCTCTACTGCCTGCCCAACCACCACCACCAAGTGTCTCATATCCTCACAAACAAGTTTGGTCAGCTACTGCAAGGGTTCAACCATTTTTCTCTTTCTTTCCATTCTAGTTCCCTTATGCTAAGTGATATGACTTCTGCAAGTTCTTCCATATCTTTTTGGCATGGCTGCTGCTCTCATGAGAATCACATACTCACCCCACCACTTGGGCTTTTTCACTAAGTACCACCACTGAGTTGCTGGAGACTAGGCAATTGCACAGACATCTGTAAAAATAGGCAACAATGTCTTTATTGTGTCATGCTCTGCTGGAAGGGGACCCAAAAATATTTCCTTACTTGTGGAGTTTCGCCAAGGACAATGTCTTATTGAAAGAAACCATATCATTCATTAAATCATTCTTGCCTTCTAGCCATTTAGCATTTTTTAAAGCATCTATTTACTGAGCACATTTATCAGCACCAGCCTTAGTGCTGTATATGCATTATTTTCTTTTTATCCTTGAAATAACCTTGAGAAACAAGGGTTATTCTCCTCAATTTTATAGATAAGGAACCCAAGAGCAGAGAACTTAAATACTTGCCAGGTGTCACATAGGTAATAGCTATGTGGTGATTAAAAGCCAGAACAATGAAACTCTGTAGAAGATGATGTGTGGCTATATCTACCTTACCCTGCTGTCCATTTCATCCTCCAGCTCATATGACTGTGGGCTGATAATTCAGAGAGTTACTCTCTTCTGAGAGACTATGTTTCTTCCAATTCCTACCAGCAGATCCTGACCAATGACTCAATGATAGAGAGTTACAAAGGGCTAGCCACTTGCTTCAAGGTAGGGCTAATTCTGTGGCGCAATTTGTGCTCCAGAGCATTCCTGTGGGATCAAACTGAAACTAGTCTCTAACTGAGCCACATTCTTGCCTCTCCTGACCTATCCTACTTCCTTCACTTTTCTTCTTTTGAGAGTACAGCCCAGTAAATCACTTGGACAAGAAAACTCATCTCATGCTTTCCCAGGAAACCTGACTTAAACCAGACCCATGATCCAATTTTTTAAGTACCACAGTACACTGTCCTCTTTTTTTTTTTTATAAGACCAAGAGGATTTACTCAATTATTTCTTTCCTTACTATGAAGTGCCTCAACTGCTCACGTAAATGGGTAGTACAATACAGTAAATCTGTATGATGAATGCATCTTGTGATCGGGTTCGGTTGTTCTTACACTCTATTCTTTTCATGGACAGTATTCTAAAGTTGAACATAGATAAATATTTGTAATCAGTCTTGTGAACTTCTGGCCCAAGGATTTCTAGTGGAAATTTTAGATTGTATGCCTTTGAATAGAAATAAGTTTAATGCTTCACATTTTTTTCTGATAGTAAAAATTGCAAAATTAGAAAATTTGAATACTTTTTGATAACAGAATACTAGGTTCCACGAAAGAGCATGTATTTTCTTTATTCCAGAGTATTACGGGTTTTACCTCTAGCTTTTCAGGAGCTCTTTAAGTACTGAAAGTAATATGTAGTTTTTGTGAAACAAATTACATGTACATCCAGGATTAAAAATATATACTCTACAGTAATAAGAATGTACTATAAAATGTCTGGGTAGAAATTGGAAACACAAAAGAAGATTAAGAAATAAAATTATTTAGCAAGATGATATTCACAAATAACTTTATTTTTCCAAGCACACATTAATATTCTACCATTGGCTGACTGAAATGTACATCTTATCATTACAAATAACTTCTGTGTAATCAATCCACACAAGGCATTCCAGTGGAGGTCCTTGTTGGTTACAGATTGCCCATTTTTACTTCAAGGTCAGGGAAGTGGATAGAATTTGTAATGAATGGTATAATTGTTGAACATTTAAACAAACACAGTCTATTTGGAGGTGAACAGTATGATTTACGTAATGGGAAATCATGCCAACCGATCAGGTTTGGTTTAATAAAATGATAAATAGCTATTTGAAAAAAAAAGAGGAACAATTAGATGTAACTCATTAACATTAGAAAAAATACCTTTGACAAAGTCTCCCTTTTTCCCTGCTGTACCCTATTATCCCCACACACATCCCAGCACACACACATCCCCTGCGAACTGTGTCTTAAAAAGATACACTATAAGATTGGAGGAAATGCTTTATTTTATCTAGAAATTGACTAAGAAACCAGGAATGAAGAGTTGGAACTGTTGCTTTTTAAAAAAGAAAACCGGTAGTTGGCTTCCTCAGTAAGAGGTACTGACATTAATCTAAAATGTTTACAGATGGAGCACTTATATTAAATCTCTGAGTTCACAATTGTATTAAACAAGTGATTTTTACATGTAAAAAAAATTAACAAAGAGATTTTAAAAGTCTGAGAGGCCAGGAGAGAGAACAGAAAGAAGAGAGTTGAACTTTGGTATGGCTAAGTATAAGATAAGGTGTATGACTAGAAATAATTCAAATTATAATTGTGGGGACATGATCTTATGAGAGTGTAGGCTTTCCCTACAGATTTTTCGAAGTTAAAAATGATGGTTCACGTTTAAAACATTTTTAATTTTATCTTTATTGTGGTGAAATATACATAACATAAAATTTACCATTATAACAATTCTAGTGGCATTAAATATATTTCAGTGGTATTAAGTATATTCACAATATTGTACAGCCATCAGTATCATCCGTTTCCAGAACTTTTTCATCATGTCAAACAGAAACTTTGTATCTATTGAACAGAAACTCCCCATTCCCCTTTACCCTTATCCCTTGGTAACCTCTACTCTCTCTGTCTCTATGAATTTGCCTGTTGTAGGTACTCCTATAGGTGGAATCATATAATATTCGTCCTTTCATGTCTGATCTGTGTCACTTAGCATAATGTTTTCAAGGTTCATCCATATTGTAGCATGTATCAGAACCTGATTCCTTTTTATGGCTGAATAATATTCCATTGTATGTTTTCTTTTATTTTTCCTTTTGTAGACAGGATCTTGCTCTGTTGGCCAAGCTATAATAGTGCAGTGGCACTCTTGTAGCTCACTGTAACCTTAAACTCCTAGGCTTAGGCGATCCTTCTGCCTCGGCTTTTCACAGCACAGGAATTACAGATGTGAGCCACCGTGCCTGGCTTATATATTTTCTTTAAAAAGGAAGTATATACTATCAGCCATGCACTATGTTAAATATTTTGTGGCCAATATCTCATTTAATCCTCACAACAGCGAATAGAGTAGATAATATTATTATCTCCAATTTATAGATGAGAACACTTTGCCCTAGAAAGTTTAAATAACATATTTTAGTAAATGGTAGAGATGGGATTTAAACTAGGTCTGTTTATCTCTACTGTTCAGTTGCCAATCCTGAACTTCAAAAACTATATGAGGGCAGAGGAAGGTGGTAGAATAGAAGCCTATGCCGTTCAACCCCCTCACTGGAATACCGAATTTTAACAACTATCTTCACACAGAAAAGCACCATCACAAGAACTGAAAATCAGGTGAGCAATCACAGTACCTGATTTTAACTTCATATTGTGGAAAGAGACATTGAGGAAGGCAGTCTTGAATTGCCGATGCCACCCCTCCCTCATCCCCCAGCAGCAGCCAGTGTGGTGCAGGGAGAGAATTTGTGTGCTTTGGGGAGGGAAGAGCACAGCAAATGGGGAACTTTACATTGAACTCAGTGCTGCCCTGTCACAGCAGAGAATAAAGCCATGCTGGGCTCAGCCAGTGCCCGCACAGGGAGGGAGCATTTGGACCAGCCCTAGCCAGAGGCGAATCACCATCCCAGCTTTTGGAATGTTAGTTTCTCGGCAAGCCTTGCCACAGTGGGCTTAAGTGCCCTGGGATCTAGGTATACTAGAAAGGCTGTCTAGGGCACAGGACTGCAATTCCTAGGCAACTCCTAGTGCTAGGCTGGGCTTAGAGCCAGTGAACTATGGTGGCACCTGACCTAGGAAGACACCAGCTGGTGCAGTTAAGGGAGTGCTTGAGCCATCCCTTCCCCAACCCCAGGCCGCACAGCTCACAGCAACAAAAGTGAGTCCTTCCTTCTGCTTAGAGGAGAGGAGAGCAAAGAGTAAAAGGGACTTTGTTTTGCATCTTGGATACCAGCTCCACCACAGTAGGATAGGGCACCAGAGAGAGTTGTGAGGCATCCCATTCCAGGCCCTGACTCCTGGATGATATTTCTTGATATTTCAAGGGAATTGCTGCCTTGAAGGGAAGGACCAGTCCTGGTAGGATTCATCACCTGCTGACTAAAGAGCCCTTGGGCCCTGAATAACCACCAGTGATAACCTTGGAGAATGCCATGGGCCTTGGGCTGTGAGATGTGCTGGCTTCAGGGGTGACTCAACACGTTCTTAACTGTGGTGGGAATGGTGAAAGACTCTTTCTGTTTGAGAAAAGCAGATGGGGAAGGTAAAGGGGACTTTGTTTTGCACCCTAGGCAACAGCTCAATCACAGCGGGGGCAGAGCAATTAAGCAGGGATCCCTGAGTCCAGGCCTAGGCTCTTGGGCAGCATTTATAGACCTGCCCTGGGTCAGAAGAGGAGCTTGCTGACCTGAAGGAGAAGTCCCAGACCTGGCAACATTCACCGCAAGCTGGGTGGAAGAGTCCTTGGGCTTTAAACATCACGGTGGCCTGGCAGAACTCCCTGGGGACCAATGGTGCTAGTGGCCACAGGGAGAGTCTCCTGTGTCTATAGAGAGAGGAGAGAAAGGTGGAAAGAACTTTGTATTATGGTTTGAGTGCCAGCTTAGCCACAGTACAATAGAACATCAGGTAAATTGCCAAGGTTTTTTGACTCCGATCCCTAGGTCCCAGACCGCATCTCTGGACTTGCCCACAGCCTGGGAGAACTCACCACTCTGAAGGGAAAGGCCTTAGGCAAGGATGAACGGCTGTGCTGGCTTCATCTGACCCCACACCGTCCCAGTGGTGGTGGCCACAGGGATGCTTATATCACCACATTCCCAGTTCCAGGTGGCTCAGCACAGAGAGAGAGATTCCATTTGTTTGGGAGAAAGTGAAAAGACTAACAGTCTCTGCCTGGTAATCCAGACACTTCTTCCAGATCTTATCCAAGACCACCAAGGTGGTACCTCTATGAGTCTGCAAAAACCACAGCATTATTGGGCTTTGGGCCCAATTCCCTCAAAATACCTGGAAAGCCTTCACAAGAAGGACAGGCATAAACAAGCCCAGACAATGAGGACTGCAATAAATATACCTAACTCTTCAATACCCAAATGCTGACAAACATCTATAAGCATCAACAACTTCCAGGAAAACATGACCTCACCAAATGAACTAAATAAGACACTAGAGACCAATCCTAGTGCCTTATTTATGCATCTGTAAGCATCAACAACATCCAGGAAACATCTATAAACAACATCCAGGAAACATATATAAACATCTGTAAGCATCAACAACATCCTAGAAAACATGACCTCACCAAATGAACTAAATAAGGCACTAGGGACCAGTCCTAGTGCCTAGAAGCAGACATGTAACCTTTGAGACAATTCAAAAGGGCTGTTTAGAGGAAACTCAAAGAAATTCAAGATAGCACAGAGAAGGAATTCAGAATTGTATCAGATAAATTTAACAAAGAGATCGAAATAATTAAAAAGAATCAAGAAAATTTAGAGTTGAAAAATACAATTGACATGCTGAAGAATGCATCAGAGTCTCTTAATAGCAAAAAGGATCAAGCAGAAGAAAGAATGAGTGAGCCTGAAGACAGGTTATTTGAAAATACACAGTCAGAGGAGACAAAAGAAAAATAAAATATAAAAAAACGAAGCATGCCTATAGGATCTAGAAAATAGCCTCAAAAGGGCAAATCTAAGAGTTAATGGCCTTAAAGATGAGGTAGAGAAAGAGATACAAGTAGAAAGTTTATTCAATTAGATAATATCAGAGATTTTCTGAAACCTAGAGAAACATATCAACATTCAAGTACAATAAAGTTATAGAACACCAAGCAGATTTAAGCCAAAGAAGACTAGCTCAAGGCATTTAATAATCAGACTCCCAAAGGTCAAGGATAAAAAAGGATCCTAAAAGCAGCAAGAGAAAAGAAGTGAATTACGTATAATGGAGCTCCAATATGTTTGGCAGCAGACTTTTCAGTGGAAATCTTATAGGCCAGGAGAGCATGGCAGAACATATTTAAAGTGCTGAAGGAACAAAACTTTTATTCTAAATAGTATATCTAGCAAAAATATCCTTTAAGCATGAAGGAGAAATAAAGAGCTTCCCAGACGAACACAAGCTGAGAGATATCACCAACACCAGACCTGTCCTACGAGAAATGCTAAAGGGGGTTCTTCACTCTGTAAAAAAAAGGATGTTAATGAGCAAGAAGAAATCACCTAAAGGTACAAAACTTACTGGTAATAGCAAGCACACAGAAACACAAAGAATAGTATGACATATAATTGTGGTATGTAAACTTCTCTTGACTTCTATAGAAAGACTAAATGATGAACTAATGGAAACTAATAATGACAACTACTTTTCAAGGCCTAGACAGTAAAATAAGACATAAAGAAACAACTAAAAGTTAAAAGGCAGTGTTTTTTTAATGCAATCAGTGTTAAGTTGTCATCAATTTAAAATAATGGACAATGGGCTATAAGATAGTATTGGCAAGCCTTATGGTAACTTCAAATAGAAAAACATACAACAATACACAAAAAATAAAAAGCAAGAAATTAAAGCATACCACTAGAGAAAATCACCTTCACTGAAAGGAAGACAGGAAGGAAAGAAGGAAGAGAAGACTGTAAAACAACCAGAAAACAAATAATGAAATTGCAAGGGTAAGTCCCTACATATCAATAATAACATTGAATGTAAATAGACTAAATTCTCCAATCAATAGACATAGAGTGGCTGAAAAAAACAAGACCCAGTGATCTGTTGTCTACAAGAAACACACTTCACCTATAAAGATACACATAGACTGAAAATAAAAGAATGGAAAAAGATATTCCATACCAATGGAAACCAAAATAGAGCAGGAGTAGCCATACTTATATCAGACAAAAATAGATTTCAAGACAAAAACTGTAAGAGGAGACAAGATCACTATATGATGATAAAGGGATTAATTCAGCAAGAGGACATAATGATTGTAAATATATATGCACCTAACACGTGCATATATATTTACAATATATATTAATAGCATCGCTGCTGAAATCTACCAAATTACCCAGATATATAAAGCAAATATTATTAGAGCTAAAGAGAGAGATAGATATACCCCAATATAATAATAAATAGAAACCCCAATATAATAATAAATAGAGACTTCAACACCCCACTTTCAGCATTGGACAGATCTCCCACACAGAAAATCAACAAAGAAACATTGGACTTAATTTGCACTGTAGAACAAATGGACCTAATAGATATTTACAGAACATTTCATCCAATGTCTGCAGAATATACATTTTTCTCCTCAGTACATGGATCATTCTTAATAATAGACCATATGTTAGGTCACAAAGCAAGCCTCAAAGCATTGAAAAAAATGGAAGTAATATCAAGCATCTTCTCTGACCAAAATGGAATAAAACTAGAAATCAATAATAAAAGGAATTTTGGACTATATAGACACTTGGAAATTAAACAATATGCTCCTGAATGCCCAGTGGGTCAGTGAAGAAATTAAGAAGGAAGTTGAAAAATTTATTGAAACAAATAATAATGGAAACACAACATACCAAAACCTATGGAATACAGCAAAAGCAGTACTAAGAGGGAAATTTAGAGCTACAAGTGCCTACATCAAAAATGAATAAAAATTCAAATAACCCAATGATGCATCTTAGAGAACTAGGAAAGCTAAAGCAAACCAAACTCAAAATTAGAAGAAGAAAAGAAATAATAAGAAACAGAGCAGAAATAAATGGATTTGAAATAAAACAATACAAAAGATCAATGAAACAAAAGTTGGTTTATTGAAAAGATAAACAAAATTGACAAAACTTTAGCCAGACTAAGAAAAATAGAGGACCCAAATAAATAAAATAGATGAATAAACAAAATAAGAGACATTACAGCTGATACCATAGAAATTCAATGATCATTAGTGGCTACTATGAGCAACTATGTTCCAATAAATTGGAAAATCTGGAAGAAATGAATAAATTCCTAGACACATACAGCCTACCAAGATTGAGCCATGAAGAAATCCAAAACCTGAACAGACCAATAACAAGTAAAGAGTTGGAAGCCGTAACGAGAAGTCTCCCAGTGAGGAAGATCCTGGGACCCAATAGCATCACTGCTGAAATCTACCAAACATTTAAAGAAGAACTAATACCAATCCTACTCAAACTGCTCCAAAAAATGGACAAAGAGAGAATACTTCTAAACTAATTCTGTGAGGCCAGTATTACCCTGATACCAAAACCAGACAGAGACACATCAAAAAAGAAAACTACAGGCTAATATCTCTTGCAAATATTGCTGCAAATATCCTCAATAAACCAGCAACCAAATTCAATGATACATTCAAAGCTCACTCATCATGACCAAGTGGAATTTATCCCAGGGATGCAAAGATGGTTCAACATAGGCAAATCAATCAATGTGATACATCATATCAACAGAACGAAGGACAAAAAGCATATGATCATTTCAATTGATGCTGAAAGAGCATTTGATAAAATTCAGCATCCCTTTATTACAAAAACTCTAAAAATCTTGGTATAGAAAGAATATACCTCAACATAATAAAAGCCACATACAACAGACCGACAGATAGTGTCAAACTGAATGGAGAAAAACTGAAAGGCTTTTCTCTTAGATCTGGAACATGACAAAGATGCCCACTTTCACCACTGTTATTCAAAATAGTACTGGAAGTCTTAGAGCAATCAGGCAAGAGAAAGAAAGTAAGGGCATCCACATAGGAAAGGAAGAAGTCAAATAATCCTTGTTTGTAGAGGATATGATCTTATATTTGGAAAAACCTAAAGACTCCACCAAAAAACTATTAGAACTGATAAATTCAGTAAAATTATAGCATACAAAAATCAATAGCATTTCTATATGTCATCAGTGAACAATCTGAAAAAGAATTCAAAAAAGTAATCCCATTTAAAATAGCCACAAAAAAGTAACTAGGAATTAACCAGAGAAGTTAAAGATCTCTACAATGAAAACTACAAAACACTGATGAAATTGAACAAGGCACCAAAAAATGGAAAGATATTCCATGTTTACGGATTGGAAGAATCCTAAAATTTATGTGGAATCACAAAAGACCCAAAATAGCCAAGGCTATCTTGAGCAAACAACAAAACTGGAGGAATCACATTACCTGACTTCAAATTATACTACAGAGCTATAGTAACCAAAACAGCGTGATACTGGCATAAAAACAGACACATAGACCAATAGAACAGAAAACCCAGAAAAGAGAACTCACAGACAAATCCACACATCTACAGTGAACTCATTGTTGACAAGGTTCCAGGAACGTACACTGAGGAAAAGACTATTCAATAATTGGTACTGGGAAAACTGTATAAGCATATGCAAAAGAATGAAACTAGACCCCTATCTCTTGCCATATACAAGAATCAAATAAAAATGGATTAAATACTTAAATCTAAGACCTCAAACTATGAAACTACTCCAAGAAAACATTGGGGAAAATCTCCAGGAGTTTGGTCTGGTCAAAAATTTCTTGAGCAATACCCCATAAGCATAGGCAACCAAAGCAAAAATAGACAAATGGGATCACATCAAGTTACAAAGCTTCTGCAGAGCAAAGGAAGCAACAAAGTGAAGAGATGAGATAACCCACAGAACGGGAGAAAATATTTACAAACTATTAATCTGACAAAAAATTAATAACCATAATATGTATGGAGCTTAACTCTATAGGAAAAAATCTAATCTGATTTAAAAATGGGCAAAGATTTGAATAGACATTTCTCAAAAGAAGACATACAAATGGCAAACAGGCATATGAAAAAGTGCTCAGCATCACTGATCACCAGTGAAATGCAAATAAAAATTAGACAATGAGATATCATCTCACCCCAGTTAAAATGGCTTTTATCCAAAAGACAGGCAGTAACAAATGCTGGCAAGGATGTGGAGAAAAGGGAACTCTTGTATTCTATCAGTTGGAATGAAAATTAGTAAAACCACTATGGAGAATGGTTTGGAGGTTCCTCAAAAAACTTAAAACTAACATATGATCCAGCAATCCCACTGGTAGGTATATACCCAAAAGAAAGGAAATTAATGTATCAAAGAGATAGCTGCACTCCTATATTTGTTGCATCATTGTTCACAATAGCTAAGATTTGGAAGCAACCTAAGTGTCCATCAACAGATGAATGGATAAAGAAATTGTGTTACTTATTCACAATGGAGCACTATTCAGCCATAAAAAACGAGATTCAGTCATTTGTGACAACATTGTTGGAACTAAAGGTCATTATGTTAAGTGAAATAAGTCAGGCACAGAAATACAAACATCACATTCTCATTTATTTGTGGGATCTAAAAATCAAAACGATTGAACTCAGGGAGACGGAGAATAGAATGGCGGTTACCAGAGGCTGGGAAGCGGGAAGGTGGCAATGGTTTATGGGTGCAAAAAAAAAAAAAAAAATTAGAAAGAATGAATAAGACCTAGCATTTGATAGCACAATAGGGAGACTATAGTCAATAATAATTTAATTGTACATTTTAAAATAACTAAGGGCATAATTGGATTGTTTGTAACACAAAGGATAAATGCTTGAGAGGATTGATACCCTATTTTCCATAATATGATTATTATACATTCCATGCCTGTACCAAAATATCTAATGTACTCTATAAGTATATACACTTACTATGTACCCACAAAAAAATTTTAAAAAGAAATATATACAGCTATAGGAAAACATATAGGGAATGAAATTTTAGAGTAAACAGAATTGAAGGATTTTGCTGTTGCAGGAACTAACAGATACATAATTTTTCTTCTGAATAGATGAAGGTAGAAAGGCAAAATGGTTGGAGTTAAATCTTGAAAGATATGTTTAGGATAAATATAATCTTTTTTGATAAATCCTGGAATATTAGAAATAGAGATCTTCCCTTAAAAATTTTCAAAAGAAAAATTTTAAGTAAAGAGAATTACTGTATTATTTAAGAAGTAGAAGTCATGGAGATTGAAAATATAGTTGTAAATAAGGGTTTATATAGGTTCACGTACTCTATTAAGAAAAAATAAGGATATTATGAGACTTCAACCGTAACTCGTTTTTAATTAATTCATTAATTTGTTTGTTTGTTTGTAAAGCCAGGGTCTTCCCATCTTGCCCAGGCTGGTCTTGAATTCCTGGCCTCAAGCAATCCTTAAGCTGATAGCATGTAAGGCAACTATACTGTCCCACATCACATGCTGTAGTCACATCTTTAAAGCCAGATGAATTAGCTTAAAGGTTATCTGTTAAACTTTCAATCTCCAACAAACTGTTCATTCATCTGTACTTTAACACTTCCAATATTAGGAAGAACACAATTTCATTTCATCATTGGACTATTCAGACATTCTGCTTTTGTTTGCTTGTTTGTTTGTTTTCTTGAGACAGAGTCTCACTCTGTTGCCAGGCTGGAGTGCAGTGGCACCATCTTGGTTCACTGCAACCTCCGACTCCCTGGTTCAAGTGATTCTCCTGCCTCAGCCTCCCTAATAGCTGGGATTACAGGCATGCACCACCATGCCCAGCTAATTTTTTTTTTTTTTTTTTTTTTTTAGTAGAGACAGGGTTTCACCATGTTGGCTAGGATGGTCTCCATCTCCTGACCTCGTGGTCTGCCTGCCTCAGCCTCCCAAAGTACTGGGATTACAGGCGTAAGCCACTGCGGACAGCCAGACATACTGTTTTATGTTGAGAGTATATCTTCATCCTTTTACTTTCCAGCCTAGGGTCTTATTCCTTTCATGAGACTATGCAGAGCAAGTCTAATGTTTTCACCCCATGAGCATTTCAAATATTCGAAGACCTTGTCAAATATTTCCTGCTTTCTTCCTCTTAATCTTAATCATGGCTCAAGATTAGTAGCCACGACTAGAGAGGCCAAGATACTAGAGAATAAAGTTCAGATTTTGCTCTTAAGATGCTTATAGATTTCTAACAGGCTACAAAAGCACTTGACTATAAAGGAAAATATGAATAAATCAGACTTCATTAAAATTAAGAACTTTTCATCAAATGATACTATTAATATAAGTGAAAAGTCAACTTACAGAGAGAAAGAAGATATTTGCAATATACTATGTCTGATGAAGAACTTATATCCAGAATATATGAAGAACTCCTAAAAATCAATAAGAGGTAACATACGAGATAACAGAAAAATGAGCAGATAAATTGAACTGGTACTTCACAAATGAATACATTCAGTTGGCCAATAAACATATGAAAATGTACTCAAAATTATTAATTATCAGAAAATATAATTTTAAACTACAAAATACTTCTACTTACCACAATGACTGACATTAAAACAAAATCCCTGATAATACATAGTATTGTCTTAGAGGTGGAACAACTAGAACTCCCATATGCTCTTGGTAGATTGTAAATTATGAATTGGTACTAACATTTTGGAAAATGATGGAAATATTTACTAAAATTGAACATATGCAAATCCTATGACACAGATTTTTTCCTCCTTGCATATTCCTTAAGATGCAAAAACAAAACAATCCAAATATTCATTGACAGTAGGATGATATATTTATCAAGAGTACACATACAATGGAACACTATGTAGTAAGGAAATAACTACCTTTATATACAATAACATGAATGAATCCCACAAACACAAATTTAGTGACAGAAGCCAGACACTAGATAGTACATACTGCAATTTCACTTACCTGAAATTCAAAAACATGCAAAACAAATTGATAGTGGTAGAAGTCAGAATAGTTTCTTCTGGGAGGAGATAATTATTGAAAGATGATGGGAGGGAGGCTTCTGTTTTGCTGATTTTATACTCTATTTCTTGATCTAGTGGTAGCTACTTGGATGTATTCACTTTGTAAAAGTTTGTTGAGATGTATATCTATGTATCTGTCTCTATATATATGTATATATGACTCATATATACATATATAGCTCATATATATATATGAATTGTATACTTTTCTGTATGTATATTAAATTTCAAAAAAATTAACTTTAGAAGGAAAAATTGGCCCTAGGTGGGTCTAAAAGTTCCAGTTACCTAAAATGTAGGGCTGCCATATTGTGTAATCGGTGAGTCTGTACTTTTATAATAAGCACAATATAAAAATACTGAAACTTATGCTGCACGTAACAAATTAAGTTTTGTATTGGGACAATCTGAAAAATACACAGACAGTCATTTCCTAATCCTTCTCCCCCAGTAAAAGAATTCTAGCTCATTCCTTTTTTAGCATGACAGCTGGGCAGTAAATGAGTCAATCACTGATCCAAATTTGTTTTAGACTGGGGTTTTAGAACATATATGAACTGCTCAACGTAGGTTTGGCACATATCAAGCACCTAAGATATAAATTATTATCAATTTTTTGATATTTGCATCCCACTTTACTCTTGAGTTTGCTGCTAACTGAAATATCAGAGTCTCTTTCACAAATGGTACCACTACAAACCTCATGCTTGTGCAAATTTTGAACCTATGTAGTAATTCCTGTTTTATTTTGGTACAATTTGTTCAATTTCCAGTCTGTTGAAATCTTTATGGATTGGGATTTACTTAATTTTATATTCAACATTGGTGAAAATGTTGGTCAGGGAGGACTAAAGATGAAGCCCTGTAGACCATCCTTATTAACTTCTATCTTGGCTCACAGTGATCCATTAGACCCTTTTGGACATGGTCATTCAGTCAATTATGACTAGTGCTAATGGAACTCACATCTAGTCCATGCTTATTTGGTCAATAAGAATGTAAAGATAGAAATGACATAAAATGGCTGGGCGCAGTGCCTCACGCCTGTAATCCCAGCACTTTGGGAGGCCAAGGTGGGTGGACCACCTGAGGTCAGGAGTTTGAGACCAGCCTGGCCAACGTGGTGAAACCCCATCTCTACTAAGAATACAAAAATTAGCCAGCCATCGTGGTGGGCACCCGTAATCCCAGCTCCTCGGGAGGCTGAGACAGGAGAATCGCTTGAACGCAGGAGGCGGAGGTCGCACTGAGCCGAGATCGCGCCACTGCACTTCAGCCTGGGCAACAAAGAGTGAGACTCAGTTTCAAAAAAGAAAAAAAGAAAGAAATGACATAAAATATCTTTCATAATATTTTTAGATGTCTGTTAGATGTTTGTACTCTTATTTTAGCATGGTCATTTACCTAAACTTTGTTAAAATAGTGAAATATTTCCAAAGCCTCCTAATTTTTTTTACGCCAATCCTAACTCACAGGCAACATTTAATGTATGAATATTGCTTCCAAGAAGAGTGGTGGGATAATATGATGGCAAATTAATCTGGTATAATGAAAAATGTTATAACACTAAATTTTTTTTGTATAAAAGTGTGCTTTTCCGGGATGTTGTTTGAAGCTTCTTTACTTTTCACTTTTCTCTTTTCACCAGCAGAGGGCAGGTAAGGAAGAGAGAAGAAAATACTATAAAAGTATCTCGTCCTCTATTCAACTATTTAAAACACTTCTCTGATACATTTACAAAGTGAGCTATTTTGTTTTCTCTTTAGTTATGCTATTTTGAAAATAATTGATCTAAGTATAAATTTTAATTTCTTACATATATTTGGTTTAATGAATCTCCAATGAAATTTGTACTTTGAATTTTTAATTGTTTATAAACCAATTATAAATTCAGACTTGAAAAGTCTGAATATTCTTTATATTTTGAAGTGATAAAAATGTCCCCTTTTATTTTGGGTAATTCAATTAATTAGACTTTTTCCTTTTATGGTTTTCTAATTCAATTATGGGTAAGTTTATGTGAATGTTTTCCATAGACATCTTAATATAGCCATTTGGTCATTTCCTTCAACATGCAGAGTTGTTAAGCATGGTTTTCAGTTTTATTAATCAAGTAATGTATCTTATAAACATAACTGAAGGAAACTCAAATGGGATGTGATGGAGTTTTTTTTTTTTTTTTTTTTTTTCAATAATATACCTTACAGGAATGTTTAAATATAGTTTTAGTAAGTATATTAGGATATTTTCTCTTGAAACTTTAAATTTAATTAATAATAAAACATCTTTTTCAAAACATTAGATGATGTGATAAACTATGTAATTCAACAGTTCAGAACAGCTTGCATGTAACCTTTGTTAAATCAAAAGTCAGGTGGCAACCTGGATTTTTGCCTGTTCAGCTTGAATAATGGCATTGTTCTGGAAGTACAGTAGTGGAGAGAGATTGAGTAATTCCTGGGAAGATAAATCCCCATATTGCTTATTCCAAGTACTAGAAATTACTTCTTTCCTTTGCTTATTGATTACCTCATCTTTAAGAATCTTTTTTTAACTGTCAAGCAAGGTTATGTATTAGGACTCCCCTTGGTCATACTAAGGAATATTTCCAAATACTGGACAAAAATGAACTTCCTCAGGTCACCTAATGAATACAAGCTTATAGTTATTATAGCTTAGAACATAGGTGTAGGGAAGAAAACAAAGAAAGGATCCCCGGGACTAAGCAAAAAGGAAATTCTTCCAATTAGGCAGAGTGATGAAGCTTCAGGCCTAGGGTTGCTGTGACAGCCTCTTTACTGATTGCCCATACGATGTCTTCCTTTTCCACTAGGCCACCATGTGTATTTATTCTACTTTTTTCTTTCTAAAATGCAACACGTTGATGTTATTTCCTTACTCAAAACCCCATACTAACTCCCTTTTGCCAATGATAGTAGGTGTGGGACTTCTTTTCTGCCATTTCAGACTCTGAACAAGGTCTCAATCTGATTTTCCACATTTACTCCTTCCTCTGCTTTTCACAAACCATGCAAACAGTGCGATTTCAAAAGTATGTCCCTTTCTACTCATATCTTTCTCAGTCATCTCTGCCTGTCAGAGGCCCTTTGTCTTTCTTTTTATTTAGTTTAATTTAATTTATTTATTATTATTATTATTATACTTTAAGTTGTAGGGTACATGTGCACAACGTGCAGGTTTGTTACATATGTATACATGTGCCATGTTGGTGTGCCCATTAACTCGTCATTTACATTAGGTATATCTCCTAATGCTATCCCTCCCCACTCCCCCAACCCCACGACAGGCCATGGTGTGTGATGTTCCCCATCCTGTGTCCAAGTGTTCTCATTGTTCAATTCCCACCTATGAATGAGAACATGCGGTGTTTGGTTTTCTGTCCTTGCGACAGTTTGCTCAGAATGATGGTTTCCAGCTTCATCCATGTCCCTACAAAGGACATGAACTCATCCTTTTTTATGGCTGCATAGTATTCCATGGTGTATATGTGCAGTGGCCCCTTGTCTTTCAAGATCCATTGTCAATGACATTTTCTCCTGAAGACATATCTTATTCTTAACTGGATGATCTTTGGTGCCCTTAAGTCTCATGGCTATTTGCATCTCTAGAGTGGCCCTCATCATATTCTATTATCTATTATTCGTATTTGTATATTTGTTTCTCTTTATATGCCAACTATAAGCTCCTTGATAGTAGGGACTGTGTCTTGGTGTCCCCAGAGATTAGCATGATGTCCTGCAACTGGCAGAGTCATTCAGAGACACCAGGGCTCTTTGTATTTTTTCAGGCCCTCAGTATATTAAAAACTGAAAAATGCCAGGGTTACAAAATTGTGGCATATTTTAAATGTTACGTCAAAAAATGGATGTGATGAAAACACATACATGCCCACAATAATCCCCAATGTAATTGTGTGCTGCTTAAGATAATTATAGGATTTCTAAAATATTTAACTCATGCTATTTTTAAGTTGGCATAGTCTGATAACTGTACGCAAGTATAGTGTTGTGTGTTTTGCGTGTTTTCTTCTTTCTGTCTTGTCAGTTTACCTCTAGGACTGTTAATCTGAGGCCTTGGCCAACGGACCCTCTGGACTCTCTATGAGGGGCCCTCACATGTAGATCTCTGATAAATGTTCACTGAAATGAGTTCAGTTTAATTACACACCAAAACGATGCTATATATAAATATTATACAATGAATTTCTATTTTTATGTAATCATATTATTCAGAAATAAGGTTGAAAGTTATTAAAGTCTAATTTAATATCTAAATTTAACTTTCAGTTGTTTTACACTTTGAAGGTCAGAGAACTAGATATTGGGGAAGAGTTCTGGGATACATGTGCAGAAGCTGCAAGTTTGTTACACAGGTATACATGTGCTGTGGTGGTTTGCTGCAACCATCAACCCGTCATCTACATTAGGTATTAGGTATTTCTACTAATGCTATCCCTCTCCTTGCTCCCCACCCCCCGACAGGCCCTGGTGTGTGATGTTCCCCTCCCTGTGCCCATAAGTTCTCATTGTTCAACTCCCACTATGAGTGAGAACATGCAGTGTTTGGTTTTCTGTTCCTGTGTTAGTTTGCCGAGAATGATGGTTTCCAGCTTTATCCATTCCCTGCAAAGGACATGAGCTCATTCTTTTTTTTATGGCTGCATAGTATTCCATGGTGTATATGTGTCACATTTTCTTTATCCAGTCTATCATTGATGGGCACTTGGGTTGGTTCCAAGTCTTTGTTATCGTGAATAGTGCTGCAATAAATGTACGTCTGCATGTGTTTTTATAGTAGAATGATTTATAATCCTTTGGATATATATCCAGTAATGGGATTGCTGGGTCAAATGGTATTTCTAGTTCTAGATCCTTGAGGAATTGCCACACTGTCTTTCATAGTGGTTGAACTAATTTACACTCCCACCAACAGTGTAAAAGTGTTCCTATTTCTCCACATACTCTCTAGCATTTGTTGTTTCCTGACAACAGAGTAGAATCGCCATTCTAACTGGCATGAGATGGTATCTCATTGTGGTTTTGATTTGCATTTCTCTAATGACCAATGATGATGAGGTTTTTTTCCATGTTTGTTCTCTGCATAATAATGAGTATCCAAATAGGAAGAGAGGAAGTCAGATTGTCTCTGTTTGCAGATGACATGATTGTATATTTAGAAAACCCCATTGTCTCAGCCACAAAACTCCTTAAGCTGATAAGCAACTTCAGCAAAGTCTCAGAATACAAAATCAATGTGCAAAAATCACAAGCATTCCTATACACCAATAATAGACAAACAGCCAAATCATGAGTGAATTCCCATTCACGATTGCTCCAAAGAGAATAAAATACCTAGGGATACAACTTAACAAGGGATGTGAAGGACCTCTTCAAGGAGAACTACAAACCACTGCTCAAGGAAATAAGAGAGGACACAAACAAATGGAAAAATATTATGCTCATGGATAGGAAGAATCAATATCTTGAAAATGGCCATACTGCCCAAAGTAATTTGTAGATTCAATGATATTCCCATCAAGCTACCATTGACTTTCTTTACAGAATTAGGAAAAACTAGTTTAAATTTCATATGGAACCAAAAGAGAGCCCATCTAGCCAAGACAATCCTTAGCAAAAAGAACAAAGCTGGAGGCATCATGCTATCTGACTTCAAACTATACTACAAGGCTACAGTAACCAAAACAGCATGGTACTGGTACCAAAATGGATATATAGACCCATGGAACAGGACAGAGGCCTCAGAAATAACACCACATATCCACAACCATCTGATCTTTGACAAACCTGACAAAAGCAATGGGGAAAGGATTCCCTCTTTAATAAATGGTGTTGGGAAAACTGGCTAGCCATATGCAGAAAACTGAAACTGGACCCCTTCCTTACACCTTATAAAAAAATTAAGTCAAGATGGATTAAATACTTAAATGTAAGACCTAAAACCATAAAAGCCCTAGAAGATAACCTAGGCAATACCATTCAAGACATAGGCATGGGCAAAGACTTCATGACTAAAACACCAAAAGCAATGGCAACAAAAGTCAAAATTGACAAATGGGATCAAATTAAGAACTTCTTTACAGCAAAAGAAACTATCATCAGAGTGAACAGGCAACCTACAGAATGGGAGAAAATTTTTGCAATCTATCCATCTGACAAAGGGCTAATATCCAGAATCTACAAGGAACTTAAACAAATTTACAAGAATAAAACAAACAGCCCCATCAAAAAGTGGGTGAAGGATATGAACAGACACTTTTCAAAAAAAAGTACTCATTTTTACTACCTGATTAACTAGTTATGTATTTCCCTGCACTATGAGGCACATGAAAAGTCAAATTGTATTCTCCATGACTCTCCTGAGTTAGTAACAAAGATGAATGCTTCATAAGAATTAGTATAATTTATTTTTCAAAACTAGCCTACAGGTGGAAAATGAAGAATTCTGTCACTTCAATGTATTTAGAAATCATTACCATAAGAGTGCAAACTGATATGAATACTCAATCATTCTTTGTTATTGGACAATATAGCTTAATTTTGCATAGTTAGAGGTATGGGATACCTGAGGAGCATAAATACATGAATTATGTATCTTTGTAATTCTCTTTCTAGTATAGAGCATATAAATTAGCACACCTGGGAGTAAGAACTCATCATAAGAATTACCATTGTTTATTTTTTTGACATGTATGTATTTAGATTTTTTTATGATATAATCTCATTCCCTTAGACTAGTTAGTAGAATGATATGTTTCAAGCCCTACTTTGCTAAATTAACATGAACCCAACCTTTCCTATAAAATTATTTTATAGTGAAAAGGAGAACAAGAAATGAGTTGTTATAATTCAGCAGTAAGAAAGGAAATTTGGTTGTTTAAACATTAGGCATCAAGTTTTTCTCCTACCTCCATGCAACTGAGAGATTTGATGCTTTTTCAAGGAGCAGGGTTGATTCAAGGAGCAAGGATAGAGATGGATTGGACATAAGGGGTGATGAAGTTTGAATTAATTAACTTATACTAAATGCATGTGCTTCTGAAATGTCCTCTGCAAGAATCACTTGTAAGAGATACATAATTTAATACAGAAAAACTTGAAAGATGAAGTTATTTGTGAAATTTATTATTTTAAATGTTAATTTATTTACACTTATTTAAAATGTATCACATGTTAAAAACATTTAAAAATCCATAATAGCACTAAAGGTTTTTCTATGACTGGAAGTAAGTTGTAATTTGAATAACCCGTCCTCACACCTCTTTCGTATTCTCATTTTTATCCACAAATTTTTATATTCACCAAAAGTAAAAAGCATTTTGTTAACCTACAATTTGTTTTTAACTAAAGCGCACGAAAGCATTTTAAATAAATCACAATAGAACTTAACCTT
Organism: Homo sapiens; assembly: GCF_000001405.40. Lineage (NCBI taxonomy): Eukaryota > Metazoa > Chordata > Mammalia > Primates > Hominidae > Homo > Homo sapiens. Next base: position 117,464,964 of record NC_000007.14, read on the forward strand.
GGGAAAACTGAATATCAATATGCAGATGTGATAAAAATAGGATTTTATGGAAAAAGGTGAGGACAGTTTCATAAAACCTAAGGAAAAATTTCAAGAAGACAGTTTGTACGTACAAAAATATGCCTGAGGCTGGGCACGGTGGCCCATTCTTGTACTCCCAGCACTTTGGGAGGCCGAGGCGGGAGGATAGCTTGAGCCCAGGAGTTTGAGACCAGCCTGAGCAACATTGAGAGACCTCATCTCTGCAAAAAATAAACAAAATTAGCTGGGTGTGGTGGCACGTGCCTGTAGTCCCAGCTACCCAGGAGACTTAGGTGGGAGGATTGCTTGAGCCAGGGAAGTCAAGGTTGCAGTGGCCTGAGATCACACCACTACACTCCAGCCTGCACGATAGAGTGAGACCCTGTATCAAAAAACAAACAAAAAATATGCCTGAAAGGATAGTTTTAATACTGCCCAGTACTTTTCAGTTGAGTAGGCATGTATATGTCCAACAGGCATCTGAAAATACACACTTATTTGTGGACAAAATCCTGTTAATTTTGTAATTGTGAAACATGCAATATAGTCCCAACCATGTCAAAGTCTCCAATGAAAATTTAAAATTTATCTTATTTGGAAGGACTATAAATTTTAATATTTCTGTGCAATATTATAAAACAAAACCCACTACGTGGCTTGATTTATATATATAACCACATGGAATTTCATACTGAAGCCCAGCAAAACTTCCATTATCCTCCACATCCATAATTTATCCTTCACTCTTTCTGCCAACCACAGGTGTTGGACAATGATTTGAGGTCTTAGCCTGAACTTTTGAATGAGAGGTGCCCCATCAACTGGACTTCTCCTGAGTGTTGAAAAGGTAAGAGGGTTTTGCTTCTTTATTCACTCCTTTCTTACTATTTGCATTGTAATATAACTCTCTTGGGACTCAAGGGAACAAACCATACAGTGTCTTTTGCTAAATGCCAAAAATCAAGAAGCCAGTTGAAGTTTTCAGTTCAAATTATTTCACAAGTGTTACACAGTAGAAAACCTTTATGGTGGCTCACGCCTGTAATCCCAACACTTTGGGAGGCCGAGGTGGGTGGATCATGAGGTCAGGAGTTTAAGACCAGCCTGGCCAAGATGGTGAAACCCCGTCTCTACAAAAAATACAAAAATTAGCCAGGCGTGGTGGCGGGCACCTGTAATCTCAACTACTGGGGAGGCTGAAGTAGGGAATTGCTTGAACCTAGGAGGCAGAGATTGCAGCGACCTGAGATCGCGCCACTGCACTCTAGCCTGGGCGACAGACCGAGACTCCATCTCCAAAAAAAAAAAAAAAGAAAAGAAAAGAAAAGAAAAAGAAAAAAAAAAGAAAAACAACAACAAAAAAAAACCAAAACAAAAAACCTTTTTTTTTTTTTGTCTCAGTTTGAGGTCTCTTGTTACAAATTTAAAGAAAATTAATTTTACAATTTCCTATTCTCAATGATTTTGATTTACTGATATTTTACCCTACAACAATATAGTGAAAAAGTGTGGTCATGGGATTGGTTAGACCTAATTCAGGACTACCAATACTAGATGTGAGGCTATAGGCAGGTGTGTTAAAGATTCTTTGGAATCTTATTTTACTCAAGAGTAAAAAGTATGTGTAGTAATAATTATTTCATAAGTATATTGAGAGCATTAAATGGGGAATAACAACCATATAAAAGGCTTAGCATATTAGAGACTTAATACAAATCAATTTCTTGCATTTTGCTTATCCTGGATATATCGTGGGTTTGCTTCATATTGGAAAACAAGACAGCAACAAAGATCCATGTTTCATTCTTCAGTGACTTAAAATATTAGTTGTTCTGGCCAGGTGTAGTGGCTCACACCTGTAATCCCAGCACTTCAGGATGCTGAGGTAGGATGATTGCTGGAGCCCAGGAGTTTGGGACCAGACTGGGCAACAAAGTGAGGCCCTGTATCTACAAAAAATAAAAATCGTAGCCAGGCATGGTGGTGTGCACCTGTGATCCCAGATACACGAGAGGCTGAAGCAGGAAGATTGCTTGACCTTAGAAGGTTGAAGCTATAGTGAGCCTTGTTTATGCCACTGCATTCCATGTATTAGTTGTTCTACAAATAAAAATATTTTACTTTCAAAACATGTTTTACTAAAAGTTTTTCAGTAAGGATGTAAAAACTATTAATGGTCAACTTTGACTACTTCCAAAATGCTTTTTTTGAGTGAAATGTTACACCTCTTTGTTAGTTCATTGCAATAATACTTAAATATTTAAAATTGAAAGTCAGTAATGGTAAATATAGAAGAATTAGAGGATAAAATGAGTGGAGATATGGAAAGGTACAGATTGAATATAATTATTTAAGTAAAATCCTTTCCTAGAGAAAATAGAAAATAGAACTTTGAGGTTGAATCTCTTTTAATGTAATGTTTTTCTCGAATCCAAGTGTTTTTACACTATACAATAGGAGTAGAAATTTGTCACCACTCTGTGGCCAAACTCACTTTTTCTTTCTTTTTTTATTTTTACATTAAAAAAAAATTTTACTTTAAGTTCCAGGATACATGTGCAGGATGTGCAGGTTTGTTACATAGGTAAATGTTTTATTTTAAATTTAATTTAACACTTTTTATTTTTAAGTCATACAACTCTCATAGCCAGTAGTTAATATTACCTTGCAAGTTTGGTATGGTTGATGAATTGCATCCTGTTAATAATTGCTACAGATTTTTGAATAATTGCAGACCAGTTTGATGGTCCTGGGTTGGCATAAGTACATGAAGATTTACTTTTTCCTGTGAGCTTTCTTGGGATGAAGAAATTTAGTGTTTTTTTTTAATTTTTAAGAAATATTTATTATTTTTTACATGATTTATTTCCCACTGAAAAATAAATCCCACCGGGCATAAAGTGTATTTTTTTAAGTCACAGAGTAACCCAACTTGAAGCTAGTTTTTCAGACTTAGGCAGTTCATGCTGTAAGCCCGAGATCTCATGGTCACCCTTGCAAGAGAAATATCTAATTGAAAAAAAATATGAAGAGTATTAATTTTGATAGTGCTAAAATGACATAAAGGGATCTCACTGGGCTTGAGATATTAAGTATTAAAATTGTTAAAGGTTTAAATTGTTAGTAACTTGTTATTGCATAGAAAATGTGCCAAATGTCAGTAAATAAAAAAACTTTTTTTAAAATAAAAATTTACAGAAAAATTATGACGATACTACAAAGAGGTTCTGTACAACCCCCTCCCAGTTTCTCTTACTATTAACATCTTAAATTAGTATGTTACATTTGTCACAATTAGTGAACCAATATTGATACATTAGTACTAACTAAAGTCAGTGTTCCTTTTACTGGAGAATGGTGTTAGAAACTAAGGTCTGGGCACTGTGGTATGGTGGTTGCTATTGAGATGTTGTTATTTTTAGGTTCTTTCTCAGCTGACAGAGCAAAGAAATATATGTGTGTATATTAACCTATGTGTACACATACATCTATGATTATTTCGATATGTAACATCTGTATCTTTATTAAGCTAAATATGAGTTCATATGGTGTCTTCAATTCTAATCAATTACTGTATAGATTATTCTAGCCTCTTCCTCTTGCTTATCTGTAACTTCCTATTTCAAACCGTGAAAAATCTGTCTTCCACCACCTACTATCTGCTTACCTAATTTCTCATTTCCAGTTTATGTATACAGTGGCTTCAGAATTATTACATATAGCCCTGTGGGATACAACTTTGTCAACTAGAGTGGTGCTTATGTAAGTTCTTCTATCTTTAGTTTTACTGACTCTACTCATTTTCAAAGTTGCTTAGTCCAGAACATTTCACTCATACTCCTCCTAGTGAAGTTGTTTCATATGTTAGTAACACAGATTCTTTTTTTGCAGTCTGCATTCCATTTTAGGGTTCCCTCCTCTCCAATCTCCTAAATTATTATTTTTTAAATTCATATACATCAAGGTTTATTCTTTGTGCTGTAAAGTTCTATAGGTTTTGACAAATACAAAGTGTCATGTACCCATCATTACAATGTCATACAGAATCGTTTCACTGCCCTAAAAATATCCCTTGTCCTTTGCCTATTCAACCCTTCCCCTCCTTTCCCAAACTCCTGGCAACCACTGATCTGTTTATCGTGGAGCTGTGTCTCTTCCAGAATGCATATAATTGAAATCATACAATATGTAGACTTTTCACCCTGGCTTATTTTGTTAGCAATATGCATTTAACATTCATCCATGTCCTTATGTGGCTTGTAGTTCATTACTTTTTACTGCTGGGTAGTATTCTATCATAGAAATGTACCACAGTTTGTTTATCCATTCGCTGATTGAAGTATATCAATATACCTTGGAACATGACTGCTAGATAGTATAGTAAGACTATATTTAGCTTTGCAAGAAACTGCCAAACTGTATTTTAAAGTGGCTGTACCATTGTGCCACCAGCAACTCCTGCCAGTGATCCAGTATTGTCAGTTTTTTGGATTTTAGCCATTCTAAAAGGTGAGTGATGGTATCTCATTGTCGTTTTAATTTGTAATACTCTAATGACAAATGATGGTGGATTTCTTTTCATATGTTTGTTTCCCATTTGTATATCTTCTTTAGTATGTGTCTGTTCGGATGTTTTGCTTACTTTTTTTAAACTGGGTTGATTGTTTTCTTTTTCTTTTTCTTTTTTTCTTTTGAGACGGAGTCTCGCTCTTTAGCCAGGCTGGAGTGCAGTGGCGCCATCTCGGCTCACTGCAAGCTCTGCCTTCCGGGTTCAAGTGATTTTCGTACCTCAGCCTCCCGAGTAGCTGGGACTACAGGCGCCCGCCACCACACCTGGCTAATTTTTTTGTATTTTTGGTGGAGACGAGGTTTCACCATGTCGGTCAGGCTGGTCTTAAACTCCTGACCATAGATGATCTGCCTGTCTTGGCCTCCCAAAGCTAGGATTACAGGCTAGGATTGCAAGTAGGATAGGCGTGAGCCACTATGCCCGGCTGATTGTTTTCTTATTGTTGAGTTTTATATTCCTTTATTTTGGAATGGAGTAAATAAGCACAATAAAACTGGTTGAGAAGATAATCATTTTAAAAAATCATAATGAATTATATGATACACATTCTATTATTTCATGAGAAAAATCATGGAAGAGTCAGTTCAATATTCAGTGAATCATTAATGTGAGGATGTAAAATTTGATACACACACAATTTATTGAGCACTTATCCTATGTCAATCAGTGCGCTAAATTTTTTTCTTTTATATTAACTCATTTAATTCCCACTACAGCCCTGTGTAATGGAAGCTGTTCTTCCCACCATTTTATAAATGATGAAACCTTAGATCACACTCAGTGGAAGAGTTCTAAAGCCCTATGTGGTGCTGTCTGATAGAAAATATATTTTAAAATGAGATGATCTAAGGTATGTTTACCTACAGAGCTAAAGGAAAGTATGTCTTAAATTTAATAATGAGTGATTATAGAAACAGATTACAGGAAATAGTCCATCTTTCTTGAATTATCCAAAGTGTTACAAGCCTCAAATTCATTGTTGTTTGTATGAGAACACATTTAGGTGATCGGATACAAGTATATAGTTTTTCCCAGATGTTTATTTCACATCAACTTTTTTTTCATCTTTACTTTCTTCAAGGCAAGTAGGATAGAATGTAATAATCAAATAGGTTTTTCCCCCACCCCATTTTAGAGCAGTAAATAATTCCAAGAGGCATTTGCTTTGTTATTGGATAAGTAATTAACAAAAAGAATTCCTAAAGACAATTAGAATCATGACCATACTGGGTCTTGAAAACATAGCAGTGCAATCACAGCCAATGGCTGGCTTGGTGGCTGGCGATGAGCCTGCAGCATGGGACTGGGTGTTCCACCACGGCTTGGCTGTTGTCCAGGGAGCTTTCAGTCGCTGGGGTTCCCACAGTGCCAAGCACGAGGCAGGTGCAGAAAGGATAAAGGTTTCTGTTCCCCATTAGTGTTGAGGGCATGCAGGTCGTCTGACATGAGGGGCATGAGAAGTGAAGTTCCTGCTTTGCTTTGGGTAAGGAATCTGCATTGACAGGGGCTTAAGAACCTGCTCTTATACCTCACATGTCTTAGCCTGGCCTTTGAGATGAGTAGGGAGTTTGAGTGGGAGTTTGAGTTTCCTCTTAGAGAAACAGAACTGAGTGAGGCACTTTCATTTTTTAGTTTCCTAGTACCTTTTGTTAAGGAAAAAAAAGCCAAAATGAGTGTTAAAAATTTAAAATTTTTAGATTTTAAATTTGCATTTAAAAAATTAATGCTTTTTTTTTTAGATGGAGTTTTGCTCCTGTTGCCCAGGCTGGAGTGCAATGGCGTGATCTTGGCTCACTGCAACCTCTGCCTCCCAGGTTCAAGCGATTCTCCTGCCTCAGCCTCCTGAGTAGCTGGGATTACAGGCGCCCGCCACCACACCCAGCTAATTTTTGTATTTTTAGTAGAGACGAGGTTTCACCATGTTGGCCAGGCTGGTTTCGAACTCCTGACCTCAGGTGATCCACCTGCCTCGGCCTCCCAAAGTGCTGGGATTACAGGCGTGAGCCACTGCGCCCAGCCAAAATTAATGCTCTTAACATGTAAAAAGTAAAGTGCAGTGGAACTTTGGCACTTATGCAAGATAATACAACTTAAAAGATTTATAAGAATATTAACTGCTAATGAACAGTAGAGGGATCTAATTAACATTGAAAGTTACATGAAGAAAGTGTTTGTCTTCTATTCCCAACAGGGCATCTTTGTAACTATAATGACTCTTGAGAAGATTTTGTTTTCAGTCTTAAAACAGGAATGGGGGAAAAATGTAGGCCTGGGTAAGTACAAAAAAGGGAAATCGAAGGAGACTAGGGAGTTACTGTAGATTTTGCAGGACTGAGGAAAGTCAGAATAAATACAAGAGACAATGATGCTGGTAATTTTCTTTGGGCTCAGAGAAGTAATGCTTTGCTTTGTCAGAGTTGTAGTAAAATTTAGATCTAAGAAGCTCGTTGGAAGTTGTAGCAGAATCCTGTCTTGTTTACTATGTCCACTGCCTGGCACAGAGATGGAACACTATAAGCTTTCCAAAAACATTTGTGGAATGGAATCAGAAAGTCACTTTACTTTCCAAGATGCAATTCTTTATTTTGAAACATAAATATTTAAAAAGTTTATAAATTTTTGACATAATTATGACATACATCCTTCCAGGCTTTTTTCAATGCTTATGCAAACATGTATATGTGACCTGTAGGTCTCCTTTTACCCAGTTTTTGGAGTACAAATAAGGTCACATCTCTTCTTAACTTTAAATGTTTAAAACATTGAAGTTAGCAAGAAGCCCAGAAACTTTTTCTAAAGAACTTTTTCTACCCCTAATTGTCCAAGAACTCCAAGTTTTCTTGGTTCAAAGAGGTAATTTCTGTTTCTAAACACTAGAAAAAGGAGAATATGAAGGATCTGACTAGTCCATTGTCACATGCCCCACCCCATTTTCTGCTGCAAGAGCCTCTGTCACCACAGCATTGTGTCACTGATGAAAATAGGTCCTCCCACAGAGTCAGATGCATCCCAGTCTATTGCTACTATTATCACCCTGTTGGAACAGATCCCTGCACAGGTCACAGCAGTTCCTGGAAGATGAAACTCATTCTCCCAGCCTTAATATCAGCCAGGAATACTTTATTCTTGGACTTCCAAAGTTGCTATAGTAGTTTCCAAAGCCCACCTAGCACCTAAGGATGGGTGAGTAAAGACAAGCTTCCAGTTTCAGCTGCAGAAACAAGAACCCATCTCCCACCACATAGTAGGTGTTGGCATTAAACTTCTCTCTTATGATGTAATGTGTTCTCCTTGGGATCTTTGGTATTTCTGTTTGCATACTTCATTTGGGGTCATCTCAACACACCAAACAGATTCTAACTACACTGAATCTCAAAAGAAATAGAAGTAGTCTTTGTCAAGCCACAGAAAAGAGCTTGTTCTTCTTTCTTCTCCTCCTAGACACCTGCATACTTTTCATTCCTCTAATGAAGAGGGTCCATTCAATAAATTCAGAAGAAATGAAGAAAAAAATACAAGTCTAGTTTGTGATAAGTCCTTGTTTTCACCTAAACAGAGAAGCAAGAACATAAATTATATAAGGCACCTTCTCTTAATTAAATAAACAAAAGAGTTCTATGTGGTCTAGTTACACAGAGATCACAGTGATTAACTACTCAGCTCTGGAGCCAGACAACTGGGTTTGTTCAGATTCTGGCACTCTTTCTTGAATTTGGGCATGGCATTTGACCTTCTGTACCTCAGTTTCTTCATTTGTAAATTGGGATGTTAATAATAAAATGTACTAACTTTATAGGGTCTTTCCTGAGGCACATAATGTAATTTAAACAACAAACAAGTATACATAACAGACATTTTTTTCTTACAAAGACGGTACCATACTAAACTTAATTTGCTTTTTTTGAAAAATTATATTTTTAGGTAAAACTTTGTAAGTTAATTTTTTTGGGTGAAAAACATGATACAAATTTATCAATTTGATTTTGCTTCATTAGCATGATATACTTTGTTCTAGAAAGTACTTAGGCAATTTTCATACATGTCTTTAAATATAATTTTTGCACATGTAAATAAGAGTTCCAAAGTATTTTGCCATCACTTCATCAGTGTTGCCTCTCAACAGCCTTTGAAGCGAGGAGATGCCAGTCACTGTCTCAGACACAAGGATGCAGGCTGTGGAGGCCAGTGAGCCATAGTCACTGAACTGGGAATTGGCTGTCCTTTTGACCATACAGATTAATCACTGTAGTTTCACCAATCACATTGAACTTGAAGATCAATAAATGACCCTAAAACAATGAGATTTCATAGACTCTTTCTATATAGTGGAAGTTAAAGCAAATCAGAAAGGAGTCCCTAAACCTGTGAATTCTTGAATTTTAGTTTTCCAGGTCAACAAGCCTTCTTTAAGTGACTTCATGTCCCGTCCTTGGTTTTTGATCATAGACTGGTATAAGAAATGACCATAAAATAAATGTTTTTGAGAAAATTATAGCTGAAAATACTGTCCATGATACCACTCAGTGATATAAGTCTCTAAACAGCAAACTCTTCCATGAATGGGGTGGAGGGAAGATGGTTTTTCTTTCCAGGTGAACTTACATATTGCCTTTTCTCAGATATCAGATTATGAGAATAATACAATGGACTGGGCTTTGACAGCCAAGACTTTCAGAATTGCTGTTAGTGCCCATGTGCAATAAAATTTTTCTATCATGTCTCTCTTATTATTTCAAATGCCCTGTTTTACTGTTTTGATTACTAATTATCTATTTAGAGGGAAACAGTTATAAATAAATAATTCACTGTTCTACTTACTGTGCACCCCTGCCTTTCTAAATATAACTCTTCTATGTAGCATGTAAATTACCACAGAACTCATCTCAGAAAAAAGATCACTACTTTTCTTTTTAGAATTCAAATTTATAATATCTAATTCTATAGGTGGCATCTGGCCTTTAGCATGATATCACCAATGAAAATTTAATCTGTGTTATGAATTCCCTTGTTTCTAGAAAAGCTTCAGCAGGAAAATGAGAAGAGAACCCATAAAAACCATAAAACATTTCATGAATGGTAGCTTTAGAAAATCTTACAGGATTTGGTAGCTTTTACATTTATGACAAAGTGATATTTTTGATGTTGTTCATAATTATTTCAGTTCATTAGCAGCATTAATAAGCTCCCGTTTTGTACAGCTTGAAGATCTTTAAGACTTCCTTAATGAGAAACTACCTTTAAGCTACGGAAGACCCATCAGGGTGCCAAATTCCATCTGGACACAGTTACAAATACACCACTGTTGATGAGCTGAAAATTAGAGCAACCAAACAACAGAGCTTTAAAATGTTATTTCAATGCAAAGGGACATTTTCACCATAGAAAAATAGAAGTTTGCCTCTAAATAAAAATGATTTTACAATTGCAAGAGTACTTGATTTACCCCTTTACATTTAGTTCAAATACCAAAAATTTCTTAAGGAATGAGAAATTCCAATGTTCCTGAGAATTCTGATAGCTTTTAGAGAGTTCAGTTTTCTGTAGCATTCCATTTTGCAATCCTATACAAATTTCTAATTTATAACCAGTGGTATGTAATGATAATTTCTAATATTTATTAAGTGTTTATTGGGTTCTAAGTGCTTTACGTCTGATATATGTATCACATTTAATTTATTTCATCCAGTGGTTCTTAACTGGGGACAACTTTGTACCTCTCTCCCCAACATATTTGGCAATCTCTGGAGATAGTCCTGGATCTCCAGATCTATCTGTCACAACCTAGGATGTATGTGGTCCTACGAGCATCCAGTGAATAGAAGCTAGAGATACTGCTGAACATTCCACAGTACAAGGGCAACCCCCACATCAAAGAATTATCCACACCCAAATGTCAGTAGTACTGAGGTAGAGAGACCCTAACTTAATCTGTTCAACAATCCTATGAGGTGATTTTTTTTTTTTTTTTGAGATAAGGTCTTACTCTGTCACCTAAACTGGAGTGCAGTGGCATGATCACAGCTCACTGCAGCCTCGATCTCCCAGGCTCAAGCCATCCACCTGCCTCAGCCTCCCAAGTAGCTGAGATCAGAAGCATGCACCACCACACCTGGCTATTTTTTTTATTTTTTTGTAGAGACAAGGTCTTACTGTGTTGCCCAGGCTGATCTCAAACTCCTGAGCTCAAGCAATCCTCCTGCCTCAGCTTCTCAAAGTTCTGGGATTACAGGCATGAGCCATGGCACCTGACCAAGGTGAGTGTATTTAACCTCATTTTCAGGCAAGGAAACAAAAGACAGAAAAGTTAAGTAGCTTACTTAAGGTCACAGAGCTAAGTGTGGTGCCAGGATTGAAAACCTAGTTCTTTATTGCTTTAGCACAAGCTATTTCCACTATACTCTGTCATGTTCAGAGAATGTTGATGTCCATCAGTGGATTCTAAATTTTGAAGGATGGAGATACTGCCTTATTCTGTACATCTGCTTTAGCACCCAAGCTCTTGCTTGGTGAAAAATTAATAGTAAACATTCATCTTTTGAGCATCTTCAAATATCCCCTTTAGAATGACATTCAATTATTAGGTCAGTAACCCCAAGAGAAAACGGTTGTTTGAGTGTATATACTGTATTACAAAATAAGGGGTGAATTCAAAGGAAAACATAAGATGCAATTCGTGCCTCCAAGGAGGTTGTAGGGAAGAGGGGTTATGAATGTATGTAAATAGAAGTTGGTGTGCGTGTGTGTTTATAAACAGAATTGTCAGACCAAACATTATTTTGGAAGCAGTAAAAGTAAACTAGAATCTGGCCTAGTCATGTCCCAGGACACCTCTTTCAAGTCCTGAAACATCTTTGTAAGACTGTAATGTGTGTTTACATCCTAGGTAATCACTGTGGCCCACTGTTGAAGAGCTGTGGCTGTTCTTACCCTTCTAGCTTAGATAAACTTATAAGCACAACCAGACTACATATATGAAGCTGAAGAGACCTTGTCTTTTTTTAACGAGCTTTTCTTCCCGATAGGAGTGACTATTTCTTTTCTTCTTCCACATTTTCAGGTTTTAGTGTACTTGTGATTGCTACCCACTTATCACTATTAAAGTCTACTCAGGAGAGAATCTGAGAAACACTCTCAAATTAAGTTGAACATGATGGATAAGTAAAGTATTGTGAAAGTTCACTCTCATGATTTCTAATGGTGAAACCTGGCAGGGTGACTAATCTTTGACGAGAAGGTTATCACTTATAATCTTTCATATATTGAGATCATTTGTAAGAAGCACCCAGCACATTGCTGAACACAAAGTAGGTATTAAATAAATGTTGGCTTCCTTTTCTCCTACTCATCCTCGCTCTTCTTTTTAATATACCTTTAAAATGATGCCACAGAAATGGCCACCCAATCTTCTATATTTAAGGTCAGTTCTTGCATTAGGAAATTCTATAGGGGAAGTATGTGAAGTATGTGTAGTCAGTCATTAAATGCTTGGGCTCTGGCCACAGATTGTTTAGGTTTAAATCCCAGTTTCCTCTTTTATTATTAATTGTGCAACTTGCTTGGGAAAACATGAAACTTGTTTTTCCTCAGGTTCATTATCTGTAATATATAGTGAATGAAGAAGTTTCCTGTCCCATGAAGGTGTTGTAAAGATTAAAAAAGGCAAATTAGGCTGTGTATTTGTCATAATAATTGGCATATATGGTAAGTGACCAACAACCATAAGGTATTATAAAATTGTTATAAAATGATATGAGCTATCATTGAGCAGCATGAAAGAAGAGCTTCACTGTTTCACCTACTATCACCCTGGCCCATTAATCTCTTTCCTGTTCCTGACATTTCAGAGATACGTTTAGGATTTCAATCATGACCTTAAGCCACATTTGAACAATTTTCTGGTGGATAAGTCCTCATTCCCACATTATGTATGTACCTAGATGCAAATCCTGAATATCATGTCGCAATTAGTGCATCTGGACATGCTTGCTAACTGTGTTAAAGCTCTGAATAATGGTAAAGTTTTATTTCTACCAAAACAAATTTGGGCTGTAATGTTTTATGATAAAAATCTGTGGTCTTCCTATGTACATGTGTGTGTACATGCTTAAAATGCAATGTTATAGTTAAATGTAATTCATTAAAAGTATGTAACTCCAGTGGCTACTTAGTTTGGCTACTTGGTTTGTAGATTTCTGCTTTCCTGTTTCATTGTTAAACAGGTCTAGAAGTTATTATTTCATGAAACTAATGTGAGGAAAAAGACTATGTTGATATATAAGTGACATTATATAAATACATGAGGGATGATTTGATTAGAAGCAGTATTACACAGTGATAGGAGTAATGGTTTAGAACTAGACTCAGGTTTGAATCTTAGCTCTATCATTATAGGCATTTACTTAACTTTTCTTGTTTGCTTAACTGAAAACTGAAGATAATAACACCTATTTACATGGTTGTTATAAGGGTTATATGAATAATGTCTGGCAAATAGTAAGAACTCAAGTAACTGTTTCACTCTTTCCAGAAGGAGATTGGCTGAAAAATATTTGGAGTCTCCTCCAGCCATATTCCTTGGTCAGCTTCTATGATCCTCTTTGGAGCTTAATTCTTAATCCCTTTATTTTCACTTGCTTGTTGATAACAAAGAAGAACTAATTATTAATTTATTTCAAAATGCATGTATTATATTTGATGGGCCACACTAACAGTTATAAACCAAACAACAGATTGGGAATGGGGAAGTGGATGTGGTGAGTTCAATCACATGTCTGGGAAAAGTCAATAGTGAAGACAGAGTCTCACAATTTTTTGTCATAATGGAGAGATGAAAACACAGGTAGAGGATTTCAAACAACAGAGTGGATGGTGAGTTAAAAATGCTGAAATTCTTTCCTGGTGTCTAACTTAATGCAATGTGGTTTATCTCTTTGCTCTTTTCTCTACTATTCAAATTTAGGATAATAAAGATTAAATGTTTCTAAATCTTACTTTACAATATCAAGAAAAAAAGGTATGCTTTTGCCCACGGAAGGGCAAAGCAGAGCTATGAAAACCTGCTGAACACATTCTTTATTTTCAACACAGGTTCTTGTCTTTCCATCATGAAATGCACATTTTATTTGTACTGTATTTGGGTGACCACAAGTCAACAACAAGATAATTCACAAGACCCTTGCCTTAGATGTGTCGGCAATAAAGTAATCAGGCCAAAATTTTTACTTTCCTTTGAATTTTTCAATTCAAACACAATGTATGCTTGCTTTTACACAGTAGGGTTCAGGGATTAGAGGGTTGGCTCTTTAAAAACCGTCAGAGACACAGGCAATCCTACACAAAATTCTCAGAAGGAAGGCGCCTACGCCTGGGAATGCCCAGATGCCCCTCAGAGAGTTGAAGATGGCGTTTCTCTGAGTCAGGTCAAAGTTAACACATTACCTTCGCTTCAAAGACTGCTTGGCTTCCTTTCGGTGGATTAGTCAAGATGTTTTGCTGACTGAGACTAGGAAATCTATAGGAGGGCGGGTTAGTTTACATTGTTCCTTGTCATTATCGCTAAAACACTCCAAAGCCTTCCTTAAAAATGCGCACTGGGCTAAAAAGGATAGACAAGGAACACATCCTGGGCCGGTAATTACGCAAAGCATTATCTCCTCTTACCTCCTTGCAGATTTTTTTTTCTCTTTCAGTACGTGTCCTAAGATTTCTGTGCCACCCTTGGAGTTCACTCACCTAAACCTGAAACTAATAAAGCTTGGTTCTTTTCTCCGACACGCAAAGGAAGCGCTAAGGTAAATGCATCAGACCCACACTGCCGCGGAACTTTTCGGCTCTCTAAGGCTGTATTTTGATATACGAAAGGCACATTTTCCTTCCCTTTTCAAAATGCACCTTGCAAACGTAACAGGAACCCGACTAGGATCATCGGGAAAAGGAGGAGGAGGAGGAAGGCAGGCTCCGGGGAAGCTGGTGGCAGCGGGTCCTGGGTCTGGCGGACCCTGACGCGAAGGAGGGTCTAGGAAGCTCTCCGGGGAGCCGGTTCTCCCGCCGGTGGCTTCTTCTGTCCTCCAGCGTTGCCAACTGGACCTAAAGAGAGGCCGCGACTGTCGCCCACCTGCGGGATGGGCCTGGTGCTGGGCGGTAAGGACACGGACCTGGAAGGAGCGCGCGCGAGGGAGGGAGGCTGGGAGTCAGAATCGGGAAAGGGAGGTGCGGGGCGGCGAGGGAGCGAAGGAGGAGAGGAGGAAGGAGCGGGAGGGGTGCTGGCGGGGGTGCGTAGTGGGTGGAGAAAGCCGCTAGAGCAAATTTGGGGCCGGACCAGGCAGCACTCGGCTTTTAACCTGGGCAGTGAAGGCGGGGGAAAGAGCAAAAGGAAGGGGTGGTGTGCGGAGTAGGGGTGGGTGGGGGGAATTGGAAGCAAATGACATCACAGCAGGTCAGAGAAAAAGGGTTGAGCGGCAGGCACCCAGAGTAGTAGGTCTTTGGCATTAGGAGCTTGAGCCCAGACGGCCCTAGCAGGGACCCCAGCGCCCGAGAGACCATGCAGAGGTCGCCTCTGGAAAAGGCCAGCGTTGTCTCCAAACTTTTTTTCAGGTGAGAAGGTGGCCAACCGAGCTTCGGAAAGACACGTGCCCACGAAAGAGGAGGGCGTGTGTATGGGTTGGGTTTGGGGTAAAGGAATAAGCAGTTTTTAAAAAGATGCGCTATCATTCATTGTTTTGAAAGAAAATGTGGGTATTGTAGAATAAAACAGAAAGCATTAAGAAGAGATGGAAGAATGAACTGAAGCTGATTGAATAGAGAGCCACATCTACTTGCAACTGAAAAGTTAGAATCTCAAGACTCAAGTACGCTACTATGCACTTGTTTTATTTCATTTTTCTAAGAAACTAAAAATACTTGTTAATAAGTACCTAAGTATGGTTTATTGGTTTTCCCCCTTCATGCCTTGGACACTTGATTGTCTTCTTGGCACATACAGGTGCCATGCCTGCATATAGTAAGTGCTCAGAAAACATTTCTTGACTGAATTCAGCCAACAAAAATTTTGGGGTAGGTAGAAAATATATGCTTAAAGTATTTATTGTTATGAGACTGGATATATCTAGTATTTGTCACAGGTAAATGATTCTTCAAAAATTGAAAGCAAATTTGTTGAAATATTTATTTTGAAAAAAGTTACTTCACAAGCTATAAATTTTAAAAGCCATAGGAATAGATACCGAAGTTATATCCAACTGACATTTAATAAATTGTATTCATAGCCTAATGTGATGAGCCACAGAAGCTTGCAAACTTTAATGAGATTTTTTAAAATAGCATCTAAGTTCGGAATCTTAGGCAAAGTGTTGTTAGATGTAGCACTTCATATTTGAAGTGTTCTTTGGATATTGCATCTACTTTGTTCCTGTTATTATACTGGTGTGAATGAATGAATAGGTACTGCTCTCTCTTGGGACATTACTTGACACATAATTACCCAATGAATAAGCATACTGAGGTATCAAAAAAGTCAAATATGTTATAAATAGCTCATATATGTGTGTAGGGGGGAAGGAATTTAGCTTTCACATCTCTCTTATGTTTAGTTCTCTGCATGTGCAGTTAATCCTGGAACTCCGGTGCTAAGGAGAGACTGTTGGCCCTTGAAGGAGAGCTCCTCCCTGTGGATGAGAGAGAAGGACTTTACTCTTTGGAATTATCTTTTTGTGTTGATGTTATCCACCTTTTGTTACTCCACCTATAAAATCGGCTTATCTATTGATCTGTTTTCCTAGTCCTTATAAAGTCAAAATGTTAATTGGCATAAATTATAGACTTTTTTTAGCAGAGAACTTTGAGGAACCTAAATGCCAACCAGTCTAAAAATGCAGTTTTCAGAAGAATGAATATTTCATGGATAGTTCTAAATACTAATGAACTTTAAAATAGCTTACTATTGATCTGTCAAAGTGGGTTTTTATATAATTTTCTTTTTACAAATCACCTGACACATTTAATATAGGTTAAAAAATGCTATCAGGCTGGTTTGCAAAGAAAATGTATTACAAAGGCTGCTAAGTGTGTTAAGAGCATACTCATTTCTGTTCTCCAAAATATTTCATAAGGTGCTTTAAGAATAGGTATGTTTTTAAAAGTTAAGTTCCTACTATTTATAGGAACTGACAATCACCTAAAATACCAATGATTACAAACTTCCTTCTGGCCTTCTGGACTGCAATTCTAAAAGTGTAAAAAACATATTTTCTGCATTAAGTTAGGCAGTATTGCTTAGTTTTCAAAGTGGTAGGCTTTGGAGTCAGATTATTTTGATTCAGATCCTACATCTACTGTTTAGTAGCTCTGTTGCCTGAGGCAGGTCCCTTAACATCTCTGTGTGTGACTTGACCTTTAAAATTTGGAGACTGTCATAGGGGTTAATCCCTTGAGAAAATGAATGTGAAAAGTTAGCCTAATGTTAACTGCTATTATTATGGATTACCATATTTTCACATTCATCACAGTACATGCACCTTGTTAATATAAGATGCTCAATTCATCTTTGAGTATAATTTTGTGACTCTCAATCTGGATATGCAATGAGTGGGCCTGTATGAGAATTTAATTTATGAAAAATTGTGTTTCACATGGCCTTACCAGATATACAGGAAACACGTCACATGTTTCTATTGTATGTTGTTAAATGCCTTAGAATTTAACTTTCTGAATAGGATCCCTTCAGTTTGAGAGTCATAAAAGAGTAAAATTATTATGGTATGAGTTATAGATTGTATTGAATATCTCTTTATATGTCTAGGTTTTGTCATTGGAAAACCAAAAAGTTTGGAAAAAAAATCTAAGTTATTTCTTACTTTCTTAATTTTGTGTGGATTTCACATCAAGTATAAAATTTGAAGAACATCTGAACTATCATAATCCATATATATATATAAAATAAACATAATCTAAGAGAGAATTTCACCATGAAAAATTCAGGTAGTTCATGACTATCAGAGCAAACAAGTACATTAAATTGAAACTTTTATGAAAATAACATTTATGAAATAGGAAGCTATTTTTAAACTAGAAGTGATATATTAGCATATAATTTATAATTCATATACAAGTGGGATTGATTTATAAATGGTCACCAACAGAGATTGTGCTATTTAATTTGGGAAAATTTTTTAAATTTACATTTTCTCACAACTTTTAAGGTAGTTATTCAGTTTGTTCCTCTCTGTCTCTTCTCTCATGCCCTGAATTTTTCATATTTCGTTTAGTTGTAAGAGTGTATATCAAACCGTGTGTCACATGACATAACTTGAATTTTCGTCGTGATATCTGTGCTATGTCTAGGTCTATACTGAGGAACTGTGGGAACCCCACAGAATCCAAGTATACAGTGCCACTGATTTCTTACAAGGGATGTGGGGTCTCCTGTAAACTCTGCAGTTAGTCTCAAGTAAGACCAAAGAGTAAAATATTGTTAGGATCTAAGGTGGAAATTCAGCAAAGAATCACATAGTCTAAGTCTCGAGTTTAACAGTAAGATAATTTGAGATACTTTTGTAATTATTAAACACAAAGTAATGAGAGATTTTAAAACAAACAAATACACCTGAATTTATATATCAGAATAGGTATGGTGGTTCAAAATAGCTATCTAATAAAAACCACACTCCTATTCTAAACATTTGCCTTTGATCAAAATAATTTTGGGTCTCTTATTATGAAATTGCCTTTCTAAATAATACATAAATTTCTTCTCATAAGTATATATTAGCCACATTATTTTATTGTTATTGTTTTATATTCATAGCTTGCTTTAGATTAAAAATTATATTACCCAGACTGGTCTCTTGGACTTGCTTCCAAGTGACTTTTGACTGTATCACAAAATCAAATTCACTCTGAAAATATAAAGATTTTTCATCATAATTTCCTTTGTTAACAGCCAAGTGCTACCTAATTTTAGGTGTTTTCATTAAAAAAAAATGCATTGCAAACTTTAAAGACAATTCTTTTGTTTGTTTGTTTTTAAAAGAC
The DNA here is from genome assembly GCF_000001405.40 of Homo sapiens. Classification (NCBI taxonomy): domain Eukaryota; kingdom Metazoa; phylum Chordata; class Mammalia; order Primates; family Hominidae; genus Homo; species Homo sapiens. The sequence goes on from NC_000007.14 coordinate 117,483,583, forward strand.
AGAGTCTCACTCTGTTGCCCAGGCTAGAGTGCAGTGACACAATCATAACTCACTGCAACCTCCACCTCCTGGGCTCAAGTGAGCCTTCCATCTTGCCTCACGAGTAGCTGGGTCTTCAGGTGTACAGGTGTGTACCACCATGCCTGGCTAACTTTTTTTTTTTTTAAGTTATATAGAGACAGTATCTCACTATGTTGCCCAGGCTGCTCTTGGAGCTCCTGGCCTCAAGTTATCCTCCCACTCAGTCTCCCAAAGTGCTGGGATTACAGGCGTAAGCCACCTCACCCTGTCAGCCTAAAGACAGTGCTTAATGAAGAGAAATATAAGTGCTTTGAGCAATGGAAGTATAATTAAAATTATACTATGAAAGATTTATAAAGATGACCATTTTGAATGGGACCACACTTATTTGGTTATATAAATTATGATACACTATTAAAAATTCATCATGATGATTTTGTATTTACATTTTATTTACATGTTTGCAATTTGTGAGGAAAGCTAAAATTATGGCTAAGCCATAAATATTTTTGCAGTTTGTTGAGGGTGTTTGTAAAAGTGTTGCCAAGGAAGACCAGTTGGCTACCCAAACAAGGGTTTAGTCTAGGTCTGATCAATACATACACATTATCTCAGGTTTGTCTATCAGAAAAACCTTAGGTTATCCAAATCAAAATAAAATAGATGCATAAAACAAAGGCCAATATGTGTTGAACAATTATATTGTGATATACAACTGCCAAGCATTCCCGATTACCATGACTCCATTTAGTCAGTCCATGGGCAAATGCCATCAATGAGGACAGCCCAGGGTTTCCATATTCTCTCTTGGCTTTACATCCTATAGGAATTGGAGGGGCCCACCTCTGGGATAGGAGCCCTTCTGTCTTGAACAATGTTGTCTGAACACTAACAAATGTTGACTTTCTACACCAGTCCCTCAATAGTCTTTTCTATTTATCCTTTTGCTGACCATGTTTTGTTATTACACAGTTGAGATTTTTCAGCTGGGAATCTGTGTTAATTTTGTATTAATTTTGATTAGCTTAACTCTCAGAGTTCTAAAAGTACCTCCTGTACCTGATATATGACAAAAATTATAATTACATTTATTTATATATAAAATATCTTTGTATATGTAAAATATCTTTGTATATATAATTATATAATTGTTTCTTTTAATTTTGCAAATTTTAAAAAGTTCTCCTTTGTTTTGAAGTTTATTCCTATAGTTTTTTATATGCTAGTTAAATTATTAATCACTTGATTCAAGTAATATTCTTATATACTTATAAGGAATAGTGTAGTTTTAATATTTAATTCCTTGCTAAAGAGAGAAGTGGAATCTATTTTTCTTAGCTACTTCATCAATATTTTATGTTTGATGTGACAGTCAAAATATCCCTCAGAGCTAACTGTTACACTAGGGAAATCACGGTTTTCCAGTTTTCCATTTATGTGTTATGGGAGGGAGTGGAACTTAGTGTAATAATATTCAATACATAAATGTTAACACTTGTTTAAAGGTCCTTGAGTGAGTACTGCTATAAAATGCATTATTATTGCTAGTGTCATTTCACAAGAGCCTATAATTTCAGTGTGATAGAGCTACAATATAAGTATAGTATTGCAAAACCATCAGGAAGGGTGTTAACTATTTAGCATGCAGTTATGTGTTGGTTGTCAAAACGTTAAAAACATCTCTGACTCAGCAGCAATTTTGGCAATTTTGATCCTGAGGCATCTGTGTAGGGCATCTTCCTGGAGAAAAACCTCTGAGATGCAATGAGGTCAAAAGGGGAAAACAGACTATGATAAAGATCAAGTTGTTTGGAGATCTTGTAGAAAGATTAATTTACAAATATGTCAAGTGCATTATCATGGAGGAAAACATTGCTATTTCTGTTGGTTCTCTTCAGAGCTCTAGAATCAATTTACCACATAGTTGTTTCAGTGTGAAATTAGCATTACAGAGTGGCTTTACGGCTTTACTGTAGGGCATTGTGTCAGCAAAGAGCTTAGGCTTCTTTTAGCAAGAAGCTTGTAAAAATTTAATTTACTCTTAGATTGCTTGATGTAGAGAATTACATTCCTACAGAGCTCTGAAAAATCTTTTTTCAGAGTTTTTCACAGCTGTATTCAAGTTGCAAGGCTTGTCAACTTTGCTATTTTTCTGTGCAGCTCTGTTAACTTATTATTATCTTTTGACATAAATTATGATTCCAAATTGTAAAGCTCTGGATGTCAGGGCCTTTTCTAATTTGTTTAGTATGATATTCAGACCATTTCAAGACTCTTCCGTGGAACAATTTAATAAAGATTTTTTTGTGATGTTAATGAGTTCATGGTGATCAACCCTAGAGACCTGTGTCTATTGTAGATCGATGACATTCAACAGTCCTGCAGTGCTGGCATCATTTTGATAAAAAGGGGTCAAAGCAAGTGGGACTGTGGGCAGATTTTTAATGCTTAGAACAATTATTCCATCGAAGTTTTCTTGTGTCCCTTCTGCCTTAGCCTTTGTAGGATAGCATGCTTGCTAATTTCTTGCTCATGGGGTAAGGAAATGAAGATTTTTGCTAGGTCCGTAGGATTATTAGGACTACTCAGGCCTGAAGCTATGCCTGGATATAGCCAGAAAACTCTCCCATAGCTTGCTCCAAGGAGCTGAGATACAGCAGTACTTCCTTTGTAGGTCATGATTCTGGGTAACCTGGAAGATGACCTCATTCATATTCTGTATTCTATGTGAGACGTTAAGAAGGTAGAGGTGGCCAAGAAGGAAATTGTTGCTGCCTTTATGGAACAAATTATCTGAAACCCAGCTTTCTCGAGGGCTTCATTGAAGTACTCAACTGGGGCACTTAACCCAGTCTAAGGCTGGTCAAGGAAGGCTTGCTGGGGGAAGTGTCTTTTGTATTCACACCTAAAGGAGGTTATTCAATTAGAATTATCCAAAGAGGGTAGGGATGGGCTAGGAAAAATTTAAACAGGTAGTGTGGAGGACTGACAGGATAAGTAAGCATGGCACCTTCAAAATATCCTGAGAAGTTCCCTATGACGGGAACATAAAATATGTGACAGAGATTTGTGGGAGATGGGTCTGGAAACTCTAGCAGGGGCCAGATCGTAAGGGGGCTTTGTAGGCTTTGTAGGCTTTGTTTGGGCTTTATCATACTGGAAGTGAAAAGCCATGGCTTTTAAACAGGAGAGGGACATAATCAGTTCATATACTGTTGCAGTTTTGTAAAAGAAAAGATGAGCTGAAAGAGTGGCCATGGTGGAGGTGGGTGGGGTGGGGGGGAGGGGGCGGGGAGAGAGAGAGAGAGAGAGAGATTTGAAAGACATTTAGGAGGTAAAATCAACTGGTTTGGTAATCAATTAGTAGTTGAAGGTGAAGGAAAGAGAAGAGTTAAGGATAACATCTATATTTGTTGATTTGGATAATAGAGGGGACAGTGGTGCTGCTTATTGAATGAGAAAATTTAATCGGAGAAGAAGGCATGGAGCAGGAGTGCAGACCTATGTGACTCTACTTCTCTCAAAACCAGAAACGGAAATGATGTATATGGCTCAGGGTTAGGTAATATGGTTATTTGAAAATGTATTAAAGTGATTTAGAGCTTAGTCTTAGGTAAGAGATATAAGATGTCTGAGGTGACAGTTTTATAAATATGTAGAGTGCCCACTTGTTTGGCCTTATTGTGGCATAGTGTGACCTGAGAGTGTTAGGAAGAAGCAGCTGAGTTCTAGGGACAGTACTGGTTAAATTCTACTTAGAAATTATACTTAGAACTCTCCTATATAACCTGCTAACTGATGTCTGAACCTCCTGATAACTTCACTCCTTTAGGCAGTGCTTTTCACATCACGGGACACAACATATGAGAGATCATAGAAATTCAATGTGGTATGAAAATCTGCTTGGGACTTCAGATATTGTCTCCAGTGATTGAATAAAAATAGGAGCTCACCTACTATGATGAGGTTTCTGTGTGTGTTAAAAGAAGGTTTTCATTACTTTTGAAAAGGTTATGTATCCTTGTTTTATGTTAAAACTTTGAGCTTTGTTAAATATGCAGAGTTCTCTTTCTTAGCATGGACTACAGAGGTGCAACTACCTCCTACCTGACTTCACATCTACTCCCAAATGCCTAGTGAAGGCTTAATAATTTCAAAAAGGGACTCTAGAATTTCATTTGATACCAGTCAGACAAATGTGTGAAAATTAAGCATAATAGGCAGAATCCCAGGGGTACTGACAGCTGTATTAAGAGGTGATTCAAGGGCTAAACCTTAGAGTCCAGCATTGGTTATGGGTGTGACAAGAAAATGAAGCCTATGTTGGCTGGGATTAGCAACCACAGTTCTAGAGGAAGCAAGGTGGAGAAACTATATAGGGGGCTCCCTTTGTACGTTTTATTTATTTTAAACATCTCTATAAACTCTAGAAATTAAAACAACAATACCAACACAAAAGCATCACTTTTTCGACCAAAGACCATTGCTATACTTTTTTGTGTAAAGGGCTAGATAGTAAATATTTTCAGCTTTGTGGGCCACATAAGTCTCTGCAATAGACAATATGCAAACAAATAAGCATGGCTGTGTTTCAATTAAACTTTATTATGAACATTAAAATTTGAATTTCATATAACTTTTACATGTTGCAAAATATTCTTTATTTAAATTCTATTGCAATATGCTTTAAAAGATACAGTTTTTAGTCTTTCTTAGTTTAAAATAAAATCTAGAAAAAATTTTAAGTCTTCTATAACTTTTTTTCGGTAACTGAATAATTTTAAAAGTAAGTGAAACATTTAGACATGCAAAATGGACTTTTCAGAAGAAGAAAATGGTAGCTTAACAGTTATTAGATTATTGTCCAGAATAATTTTTGACTTATAAGTCTCTGTTGACCATTTCATTGCCTCTTTTTTTGGAATATGCATCTTTTAATGTGTCCTTCAAGGCAAAGGCTCTATCTTATCTATCTTGTGTCTTGCATTTTCCCAGGGCAATGTTTTTCACAATTTTTTTAAAAAACAATACTGTAATCAATTTTCAAATAAAATTTTCCATGGGACCGCAGTGTATACAAATAGCAGTGACAATAAAAGATAATAACTCTCCCATAAATACAAAGAAACAGTTAACCTAGTGCTCTAAAGTAAAGGCTACAGTGATTTTGTATAACATTTATATGTAATTTTCTTGATCCTACATGGTTGTGTTTTTCACAGTGTTATGTTTCTGAAATCGAGATGCCTTTTATAATTGATGTCAAAAGAAACTTGTCAGCCACAAGGCCCAGGAATAAGTTGTAATATGGGAACTTAGCAATACATAAAGGTATATATACTCCTGTGACCTCAGCTGAATTATTTGCATTGGTTGCATCCCACAAGGTTGACTCTTAAATAAATTTAGTTTGTTGCTTGAAATTTCTTGGGATAAATTACTTTGTGATGTAGTTTTGAAAAAAAAACAGGTAATATTTAGTCTGAAGTTTGTCTGACATACTAAGCAATGTAATTAAAGTAGAAGTCGCCTAAGCTCAGCACTTTATTATGCCTTGAAATTATACTGCCTGTCCTACAGGTGAAGGTGTTATGAATGCAGTTTGTCACTGTAACTCTATTCATAGCTCTGAAAGGCTGAGAGTGACTCAGAAGAATATTTTTGCTCTGAATATGAAGAACGCTTAGACTAAAACTTTAATTACGATGCTGAAGAAGAAAGTGGTAGGTGATTGCATGAATAAGTATGTAATATTGTTAATTTCTAAAAACTGTGTATAGTTAATGTAGTGCTTCTTTTTGGAAAGGCTATTGTTAAATTGATGGTAAATTCTATAACCAATATCACCTTAAAGCAAGTACGCATGATAAAGTATTATAAAACCATGATAATATCATATGTGGCTTATTATTGTTCCCTGAGTGTTGTACAACTCTGTTATGCTGTGATGAAACCTCATGCAAACAGGTATGTCAAAGATATGATGGGCTGTTAACTGAGCTTGGCCCACATATGGTGTAGTGACATGCTCACTAATGCAGTGCAGAGATAACCAATAACAGATCATAACAGGTTTAAATATGTGCAAGGAGATGTCAGCAGAAGCTTTCCTACATAGTGAATACTAAACAAGCCTGACAGCCCAGGATCATGTTCGGATCAATCTAGTGTGCTAAAATTAACATATAGTCCTACATTTGAGAATGTGTGATTTTCTTGGTTCCTGTCTATAAAATAATATTTTAAAATACATACATTTCAAATCAGAAGTTGGTGAATTCACTGAAATATTTCTAGAGAACACTAGGTATTGGGGCTCATAGTGTGAAAACCACTGACTTAATTCTTCCCCCATCTTGGTTGTTCCTGATCTTCCCTTGTGTCCCCATTCCAGCCATTTGTATCCTTAGAAAATGATCTCATATTCTACTTCATCTTTATCTTCATTGTCAACTGTCAGGTAGCAATATATGATGGAAGAAGCATGTACTTTGGAATCAGACAGACCTGGCTGGAATCCTAACTCTGTCACTTATTAACAATGTGATCTTAGGCAATTTACTTAATCTCTCTGAACCTCAGCTACTCTCGTCAGTACAATGAGTTATCCTTATCTTTACATGGCACAGTATTATTATGATATCAAAAATTCATTGAGTATTTACTCTGCATATTAGTCAAGGTTCTCCAGAGAAGTAGAACCAATGATACACACACACACACACACACACACACACACACACACACACACAATTTATTATAAGGAATTGACTTACATGATTATGATGGCTAACAAGTCCAAAATCTGCAGTATGGGTCAGCTGGCAGGAAACCCAGGAGAGTCAATGTTCCAGTTTGAGTCTGAAGGCAGTCTGTTGGGGAATTTCGTCCTTCTCTGGGAGGCCAGCCTTTTTGTTCTATACAGGCCTTCAACCGATTGGATGAAGTTCACCTTTATTAGTGAGGGCAATCTGCTTTAACCAAAGTTTACTGATTTAAATGTTAATCTCATCCAAAAACACCCACCCAGTTGACACATAAAATTAACCATCACTCTCTGTAAGCACTTTCTATGCATTAAGTGATAGCAAATAATGCCAGACATAGGGCGTCTTTAATAAATGGTAAGCACTGTTATCAGCAACAACAGGATTATTATAATTAGCACCTTTTCATCTTTCTGTCTGGGCTCTGAGAAAGTACCTCTCTTCTCTAAATTTATCCCTCCTTTCCTATGAATTAGACCCAGTGCTTTCTCTGAATTATGAAGGTCACACTCCTACAAATGCCCCTTCCCAATTGCACATCTGTCGGCTTTCTTTGCCATTGACTTTTATCTCTAGCTTTTAAATTTACAGGCATATGTCAGTTAACAATGGGAATGCGTTCTGGGTAATATGTCCTTAGGCAATTTTATCGTTGTGAGAATACTATAGAGTATACCTACACAAGCCTAGATGTCGTATAGCCTACTACACACCTAGGCAATATGACATAGTCTTTTGCTTCTAGGCTACAAACCTGTACGGCTTGTTACTATACTGAATACTGCAGGCAGTTGTGACACAGTGGTATTTGCATATCGGAACATGTCTAAACACAGAAAAGGTGCACTAAAAATACTATGTAGTGATCTCATGGGACCACCATTGTATATGCAGTCTGCTGTAGACTGAAATGTCATGCAGTGCATAACTGTATCTTAAATACTCAAAGTATCACCTTTGTTTGTTTGTCCCCTTGTGTGCATCATCCTAACGTGGAATTTCTCTGTTGATTAGGGCCAGCGTATTAGTTTGCTAGGGCTACCATAACAAAATACCACAAATTTGGTGGCTTAAATAACAGGAATTTATTATCTTATGGTTTTGAAGACTAGAAGTACAAGATCAAGGTGTTGGCAGGTTTTTCTTCTAAGGGCCATGAGGAAGAGTCTATTCCATGCCTTTCCCCTACCTTCTGGTGGTTTGCTAGAAATCCTTGGCATTCCTTGACTTACAGAGGCATCACCCTGATCTCTGTTTTCATCTTCACATGGCATTCTCCCTGTGAGCCTGTCTCTGTGTCCAAACTTCTTTACTATTAATATAAGGACACCAGTCATATTGGATTAGGGTCTACTTTAGTGACCTCATTGGAATGTTATTACCTCTGTAAAGATCCTATCTCTAAATAAGGTCACATCCTTAGGTACCGGGGGTTAGGACTCAAACATACCTTTTTTTGGGGAAACACAATTCAACCTATAACAATTGATAACACTCTTTAGGAGCAGAATGCGATATGGAAGTAATTTGAGACCATAAAGTATATACATGTAGGGAGTTAATCTATGAAACCTATTGAAAGCCATATATACCTCATGTATAGTGGTCCATAAATAGCATGGAGACATTGCAGAGGATGTTAAGTGATATGATACAGGAACAATCCAAGAAGGTCATAAGAAAAAGGACCTTTTGCTCTTGAGAGGACTGAAGAATGACTTTCCATTTATGAAATTTTGGTACATGTCCACTAAAAATAGGATGAAGGCCAAACTTAGGAAGAATATTTTGATAATGGAGAAGGTTGCATATAAAAACATTTTATTGAGGACAATTAAATAATGTTGGCTGGAAGTTTTAGGATGATCATCTTTAGGACTCAGAAAAAGAGAAGAAACATTATTAAAGAATTGTCCCTGAACAAGTATAGGCACCCTCACATTTGCATTGCATTTACTATAGAATTGAAAAATGTTTTGACCTTTTTTTTTTGGCTTTTAATATATTTGACCAAGAGTAACAGCTAAGCAATACCTATTTGCAATCAGTGTCATCATGTGGGCTCCAAACATATCATGTTTGTGTAATTAATTGATTGACCCATTAATTTGTTCAATTTCTGCTCTGTTCCAGGCACTGAACAACATGATGGAGATAAAAGATAAATATTACACCTGCCTTGTCCTCAAGAAGTTAGTCTTCTGAGGGAAAGAAATTAGCAAACAAATTGTAATCTCAGTTATGTGCCATGTTCCATGCTGGGCACAGGGGATACAGTAGTTTAAAAAAAACACAAGATCTATAAGGTGTTTCTTCTTGTGGACCTTACAGTCTAGGGTGCTTGGAAACATGGGGCGTTGGCAGACAAGTAAATACACATTTTGTGGTAAAGGCTCAGGTAGAAGAAGTACAGGATAGAATAGAGCACACCATGGGGAATTAATCTAGACTTCAGAGAGGCTCACACATACATAATTTATGTGTGACTATTTCAATGCATTTGAGGTTTCTTGGAAATAGAGGTTAGGTTTTATTTTAAGGAAGTTACCATTTTTTTTTTCAGTGTGATGTGGTTGAACCAAAGAATGCCATGCCCAGTGATGGTAATAGGATAATCTTTTTAAAAATTAAGAGCCACCTAATAAATCAATAGTTTCATTCAGCGGGAGCTCCTGCAGAGTTCAAAAAGAAGAGAATCTGGCACAGCGTTTCCTTTAAAGTTCATTTTCCTAGAGTGTGAATGGAAGCAAGAGATTATAACATTTTGAGGTCAAAAAAATTCTGAAATGCCTATAAAAATTATTTTCTCCAAATTATCATCATTTGTGCTTTTAATGACCTGATTGCAAAGATGAACATTTTGAATTCTTAAATTGCTTATTAGGATTGGTTAATGAATCAATTATCTATTACTGTATGTTTTGCTATTGGAAAAAATAGCAACTTAAGTGTTTTGCAGACCTTTACTTAGGTATATGTTGCTTTTATGAAAAAAAAGATGTAAATATTAAGTAAAAGGGATTTAAAGCAAGGCTTTTGAGGTAGAGTCTTATTAATTCCTTGGTAAACCTTGAGCCAATTGTTGTCTATGTTCTCTGCCTCTGTCTTGCTCCTTCCTTCTGGGATTCACTGTGGGAATGCGGGATTGTTAATCTGGGGATGCTGTCCAATCCTGCCTCTCTCAAGCTTTGCTATTGATCTCCCTCCCAGTGATAATAAAGCTTGAAGAAAATGAAAGTAGCGTTAGTATTGGTCCTCAAACTCAAGAACAGGATGAAACTTAAATCTTGAGTCATACAATTGTGTCTACATACTGCTCCCCAAAAAGAGAAGTAAAGAAGATGCTAACTTTCCCTTTTAATTTGCAGTACTTAGCAATTTGTTTTCTTGAGGGTTAAGTAATAACAGTGGAAGAAAAAAGGGTTAAAATGCCACCAAGAACCCAATTCCATGTTTAGTTTGAAAGTGGGAAATCAGCTGCCACTGGGAAGTCTGAATCCAATGCCATGATGTTCTTTGAATCCTTCTGAGAAATAATCATGTGTAGCCATAACATACCTGTATAACAGAGCAGAGAACATAAACAAATGAAGGTGAAGGGAAGATTAAGACAGAAGAGAAAAATTCCAGAATCGACTGATCATTTTTATCTGTTTAGATGATTTCAGGCAGAATCCTAGAGACCAACTTTATCACAACTGAATTTTAAAAATCACCAGCTTTGTCATTGTGATGCAGCATCAGTTTCAGTATTATCCTTGGAGTATTAATTCTTAATCATCTTCATCTTAGAACATTTTTGAGGTCACTTCTAGTCTCTATTTCACCAGTGAAGAAACAAAAATCCCCAAACTATATCAGGTGGAATTACACAGTATTTTTTTTTTAATTTTGGGGAAAGTCGATTCAAGGCAGTAACTTGCAAGCTAGTGTTAGAAAGGATTTAATAAATAGTGGTTTTTCTGTACACATAGTGAGAGGTCATTACATCATTTGGTTGTTGAAAGTCATAAGGATGTCTAGCATGCGCTTTGCCTGTAGTGGTTCATGCCAGGCAGATTCCTGACTCCTATAACCCAGAGCTTATCAGAGCATTTATGTCCCCAAAGAGAAATGTCACCTCCATCTTTCAATAAACACTTTAGCAAAGAAAAATCAAGTACTTTAATTCCAAATCTTGAGTTAATTCCAGAATAACAATGATGGCTCGGAAAAATATGGGTATTTCTGTCAAAGGACAGAGAAACCTAGTAGAGAGTATTTACTTTGGGTCCTAGTGATGGTATCTGAACAAGCTAGGTGAACAAAGAGCCTCAATAAGGGATTTTGAGGTCTAGAAAAAGAGAGGAAATACCAAATAAATGGAATAATTATAAAATAAATACCAGCAAAGTTAAATCAATATATCATGTGGGAGATATCCTTATATCACTCATGTGATTTCTATTTTGTTCCTATATTAGGCCAAGGAGAGGTGGAACTTGTTTTCCTTTTTCCCTCTCAGCTACGAATGGACATACTTAAAACTGTTTCTCTGCTTCTGTTCTCTAAAATGTGATTGTCTAACAGTAACCGTGATGACGTTTTGACAGTTGCACAAGTTTCTTTCTTTAAGCTTTAAAAATGCCAGCCAGTAACCCAGTGGCATTTCTACTATAAAATCTTAAGGCCAATCCATTTCCCCTTTTCCTTATTTTCTTGGTTTCAAATATATTTTTATTGCCAATGGAAATAAAAATCCTAAATTAGAGAGCAATGGCATCCCTTGTCTTGTGAATAAAGAGCTCCTAAATGTGAACTTATACAGGATGCAGCAATTTATAGGGTAGTTAATCATTCTTCTTTCTAGCCAGTTGTTCCAGCTACAGTTTTGTGGCTCTTGTTAGTGGCTTCATTCCCAGATAGAATAAAAATCAAACCAAAATCCTGGAAAGGCACTCTGAGGATGCTTCTCTAAAGTAGATGGGCATCAACTATAAATCACAATGCTTTGTTTCCTCTGTTATGTTTCAAGATGGGTGGGATTTTTTTTGTAGCATTACTTATTATTGCCTCTCAAGTGCTTGAGTCTTTGAAATCCAAGTCATGTGAGTGAATTAGATACAGCTGTTAGAAGTGGCCTTTCAATGCCAATGGTACACATTCCTTGGTTTCTTTACGATACTATTGCTCTTACAACTTTTATCTGAAGTCATAAATTCATAGTTGTCCCAGAAGTTAAGTTCCTTGCTTCTAGAGGACAGAAAACAAACAATTTACACAACTCATGGTGCATGTCACCAGTCCTTAGATCTCATGAAATATGCATGAAATCTTAAATCACTTGCTGTAGCCACCCAGCCATTGACATATTTGAAAGACTTTAGTGTATCAAAGTCACTATAATGAAAATTTTGATTTCACCAGTTCTAGGAGTGAAAAATCAAATGTTTAGTAAAACTTTCTAAAATTAACACTGACAGTTGATTTCTGTATACTGTTGTTCTTAATAATAGCTTTATTGAGATATAATTCATATTCAAAACAACTTACCCATTTAAAGCATACAATCCAATGATTTTTTAGTATCTTCAAAGAGTTGCCTATCACCATAACCAATTTTAGAACACTTTCATCACTGTAAAAAGAAACTCCATTCCTATTAGCAGTCATTCCTTATTCCAAATCCCCCTGCTCGCCCTAGACAACTACAAATGTACTTTCCATCTCTATAGATTTGCCTGTTCTGGAAATTTTATGTAAATAGAACAAAGTGTTCTTTTGTGACTGGCTTATTTCACTTAGCATTTTTTTTCAAAGATTCATCCCTGTTGTAGCGTGTATCAGTGCATCATTCTTTTTTATTTTTTTAGAGACAGGGCCTTGCTCTGTTGCCCAGGTTGGAATGTGCAGTGGCATGATCATGGGTCACTATAGCTTTGAAGTCATAGGCGAAAGCGGTCCTCCCACCTCAGTCTCCCGAGTAGCTGAGACTACAGGCTTGCACCACATGACTGTCTAATTTATAATTTTCTTTAGAGACAGGGTCTTGTTATGTTGTCTAGGCTGCTCTCAAACTCCAGGGCTCAAGTGGTCCTCCTCCCACAGCATCCTAAAGTGCTGGGATTATAGGTGTGAGCCACAGCACCTGGCTTGCATCATTCTTTTTATTGTTGAATAATATCCCACTTGTAAGAATATGTATTTTATTTATCCTTTCCCCAGTTAATAGATATTTCGATTGTTCCTAATTCTTGTCTATTATAAATAATGGTGCTATGAACATTTGTGTACAAGTTTTTGTGCAGACATCCATTTTCCTTTCTTTTGGGCATATACCTACGAGTGTAATGGATGGGCCATATAGTAACTTTATGTTTAATATTTTGAGGATTTTTCAAACTGTTTTCCAAAGTGGCTGCATCATTTTAAATTCCTTCCACCATTGTGTGAGTGTTTCAATTTCTCCACATATTTGCAACACTTACTATTATCTACTCTTAAAAATTACAGCCATCCTACTGGGCATGAAGTGGTATTTCATTGTGAGTTTTTTTTTTCTTTTTCTTTTTTTCTTTTTTTGCTAATGTTTGTGGATTTTCTTTTCATTTTCTTGATGGTGTCCTTTGAAGCACAAAAGTATTTAATTTTGATAATTTCCAATTTATTTTTTGTTATTGCTGTTTGTGCTTCTGGTGTTGTATCTAAGTGTATGCTACTTTAAAAAATTAGTTGTAATATGGCAAATTGGATACATGTGTAGGCTTTGGTGTCACAATCCTAATTTTAAAATTCTGACTCTGCCCTTGACAAATTAACTAATTAAGCTTCCTTAGCCTCAGTTTCTCAACTGTAAGTTGGAGATATTACCAAGACCTACCTCTTGAATTGTTGTGGGGATCAGATGAAATAATGTATGTGAAATATTTAGAATTATGCAAGTCTGTGGTAATGAATACTAATGTTAGCTATCATTATTGTTATAATCCCAATAATAAATTCTGGTGCTTTGAAAATTAAACCAAAGCCAAGCAGTTGATATGAAGAAGCATGTAATAATGTACAGACATAATGCTTTATAGACAACATTGAATTTGGCTCTCATGAACATCAGGAATAGTGGTCATGGTAGTTATTATCTCCAGCAGGAACTGTAGCTGAGAGATCTTCAGAGCTTTTTCCAAGGCGATATCACTGGGAAATAATAGAGACAAGGTTACAAGCTAGGGCTGTGTTTTCTTCTTAAAATCTTTAGTTCAGTTTTTTTCAATAACAGATTTGTAGTAGGCATCAGGTGACTGGGGATTCGTATTCTTCAAGTTGAAATATTACCTTGTTGAGAAAGAAACCATGTGTGAGACAACCATGTTGAGAAAGAAAAAGTGATTTTATAGAAAATTAATATTGATAGTGAGCATTATATGAAAATCATGAAGTTAGAACATATTTGGCCAGAAAATTTACATTAATAGTTACCCATAGCAATTAATGCATTATAATTACACATACCTTTTCTTTAATGAAAAAGAATTCTTTCCTTCCAAAGTTATGCATGCTATTGTTAAACATTAGAGAATATAGAGAAGCAAAAAAGAAAATATCTTTTTTGATATTTTCTTAACATACGTCTGTTCCTAATAATGTTTATAGTTTAGAAGCATTGCATGAAATGGGTAGATCAATTTTCTATTTAATGTTTGGATTCATTAGGTACGAAGTTAGCAAATTAATTTCCATTAGGGTGCCTGTATGGTTGTAAATCCTGGACCTGCAGAAGATTTTTCAGTATTGGTTTGTAGTCTTTTGTTTAGCAGCAAATAATTAGTTCTCCAGAGCTTCTGAAATTAATTGACCACTTTAATGGTGTTTACCTACCTAGAGAAAGAAAAAGAACTTCTCCAAGTCCCTTGGTAAAATTAAGCCTCATGAACAATTAACTCAAATATACACAAGGCTTGTCTTTAGCGAGCATATACTCCCTAAAGTTGATTAAGCTGACCAAGTGATTACTGCTTATAAATTCACCATTTTATGGAGAAGAAGCAAACACTGCTAAATACCTTGTGGAATCAGAGGAGGGGAAATTAGTAACTTGACCCCAATACTGCGATTTTAAATTGAATTCTTGAAGCCTACAAGTTTTACACAGGACTTTAGAGAGCTGGATAGTATCACTTTGTCAAGTCCTACTTTTACTATGATTCTTTGAGAAAAATACATCTGACTAAATAACTCTGAATCTAAATTGGATAAAATAAATGTGACATTCAAAATGTTATTTATGATTTTAGAAAAATATCCTTATAGACACTAGATGAGTTTTAGTCTCAAATCAATCCTCCCTATCATAGTCACTTATCAAAATAACTAAAGCAAAGTGGTAGAGCTGTGCTCTAGAAGTTTGGGATTTATGATCACAATCTTTTCCAATGAGTCCCCTCTTTCCTCTGCCTGTCTTCAACATTTGTTTTTTTTTTTTTTTGGTTAGGACTATCCAGATTGTGTGGCCTATTTCAAACTCATGGCAAATACATTGGATGATCAGAAATTTTCTAATGTATTTGAATTTGTCTACACAAACTAGAGTAATTGCTATTAATTCCTCAAGTGTTAATTATTTCATGCAAAAAGGAAAAAGGCTATTAGTCTTTAAGTGTATTAGTATGTCAATATTTGGGAGAAGTGTCATGCAATTAGTGGTTTGAATTTCCTATTTTATTTTATTGCATTTTATTTTATTTGCCTAGTCAAATAAAAAGTAATGTTAAATACATGGAAGCATGATTGTTTTCTACACTAAAAATCATTTTGACTTGAAAAGATCTGATATCCATGACCTTCATCTGAAGTTTTGGCAGATGAAAATGTCAGATGCGTCTTTTGGATTAATAAAAGGCAAAAGTCAGATCGAAAAATGAGTATAAGCTTTAATTATATGACTTTAGGAGGATATGTTATGAAAATCAAAGCTTTAATAGTGATTATAATTGGCAAGTTCTTTTTTTATAAGGAATTACAAGTCACTCTATACAAAAATTGGAATTTTTGTCCTAAGAAATGAAATTTACTATAGTTTCATCTGTGTGTGTGTGTGTGTGTGTGTGTGTGTGTGTTTAAAAAATCAAGTGATAGGGCTTTTCCTCAATAAAATCTGAAATCTCTTATAGTTAAGTGAACAGAACAGTGTATCTAGGATGCTAGACTTTTTTTTCAAAGTTAGTTTAAAACTTATACATAGTAAAATCTGTATGCCTTAGGGATCTCTGTTTGCTATCCCATAGTGAATGATTAATTAGTTTCTGTTAGAAATAGTCAGAACTAGGCTGGGTGTGGTGGTGGCTCATGCCTGTAATTCCAGGACTTTGGGAGGCCAAGGCAGGAGGATCTCTTAAGCCCAGGAATTTGCAACCAGCTTGGGCAGGCTGGTGAGATCCTATCTCTACAAAAACAAACAAACAAACAAAGGACAATAAGAAAGAAAGAAATAGCCAGAGCTTTGAACAAAATTTCTAAGTAGACCAATGTAAAAGTCTGTCGTCAATATGTAGTGGCTATGAATGGAGGTTATGAATGAAAGAGAAGGATAAGATGAACTAGAGGTGAGAGGGGAAGACAGCAGGCCCAAGTGAAAGGCAGAGCCGAGTTTATTGCTTTTTGGTTATTCCAGGTGTGTCTGCTTTGTCTCATGAAACACCTGGATGATCACTGATTTCTAGTGGAAGAAATGCTGAAAAGTCCTTACTGTGCATTTAAACATTCTAGGTTTAATATACTCAGGGTTTTTCAAAAGAAAGGGTGGCTGGAGTTTTGCACTAACTAATATTTCATAAAGTGTCTAAGTATAGATGTCTGGTTTTTTTTTGTATTTCTAAGACTGGCTTGAGGTAGGCATGGAGAATTCTTTGATGGGACATAATTTTCTTCCTTTCTTTTTTTTTTTTTTTTTTTTTTTTTGAGACGGAGTTTTGCTCTTGTTGCCCAGGCTGGAGTGCAATGGCACAATCTCGGCTCACTGCAACCTCCGCCTCCCAGGTTCAAGCAATTCTCCCACCTCAGCCTCCCGCGTAGCTGGGATTACAGGCATGTGCCCCCATGCCTGGCTAATTTTTTTTGTATTTTTAGTAGAGATGGGGTTTCTCCATGTTGGTCAGGCTGGTCTCGAACTCCTTACCTCAGGTGATCCACCCACCTCGGCCTCCCAAAGTGCTGGGATTACAGGCGTGAGCCACCGCGCCTGGCCTGATGGGACATATTTTTCATTCAATTTTATTGATTTAACCTCACAAAATAAAATATTTCCTTAAGATGACTCTGTGGTCATTGTTGGGCAGCATAAGCTTAATGGATTTTAGTTATCATAATTTACCTTAAACCCAATTTGTATTTCAGGATATAAATAGAGGTTTATTGTAGTGAATCTTCCAGGAAATACTAAGTGATACTAATAATTATAGATGGTGAACTTAAGTCTTTATATTACTGAATTTGTTTGGTTTGATGATGCTAGGCTATGGCATTCTTGCTAATCAAAACGATGTGTCATGGTGTAACATAACTTATTAAAATGGGCACAGATAACACAGGAAGCTTTTTATAAAAGCAGCTCACAAATTGTGTTACTTTGAACTGAACTGGCCATTTATGGGAAAGGTCACTGGGTTGTAAATAAGGACCAAAAGAGTTACGTTTATATTTTTTAAAAGAGATTGAGGAGATTTATTTTTACATTTCTTGAAAATGCCTTATTTTGGTATGGTATTGACAGATAGTGAAATTCTGCTCATTTGTAAATATAGTGTCATATTTTAATAATTTCAAACATATTGAAAATGCAGAATTTATTAATAGTGGGAGCACATTTTCCTTTTTACTAAATGTTCTACAGGTTCTTTTCTTTCCATCCACACACAGTGCCATTACCCTCATTCTAAGCCTTTCAAACATCTGGCAGTAAGTGATCTGCTGCACTTAGCTCTTTCCAGCTGAGCTGATTTTTAAATTTTCAGAAAATTTGTGAGCTAATTGTTAAACATGGCCATTATTAAAAATTAAATTATTTCAACTTATAATTAAATAAATTATATTAAAACAAAAGTATTAAAAACTCAAAAGTTGGCTGGGCGCACTGGCTCACGTCTGTAATCCCAGCACTTTGGGAGACCGAGGCAGGTGGATTGCCTGAAGTCAGGGGTTCGAGACCAACCTGACCAACATGGAGAAACCCTGTCTCTACTAAAAATATAAAAAAATAGCCGGGCATGGTGGTGCATGCCTGTAATCCCAGCTACTCAGGAGGCTGAGGCAGGAGAATTGCTTGAACCCAGGAGGTGGAGGTTGTGGTGAGCTGAGATTGCGCCATTGCGCTCCAGCCTGGGCAACAAGAGTGAAACTCTGTCTCAAAAAAAAAAAAAAAAAAAAAAAAGAAACAAAAAAAAAAAAAAAACAAAAAGCAAACAAACAAAAAAACAAAAATTATCACTTCCTAATTATTTTGCATTTTACTATTATCTATGCTATTAACGTTATTTGCCTTCATTGTATTTGAAAGGTGGACTATATTCTATTGCACTTTCATTGTACTATATTCTAATATGCAACTGTGTATCCCTTCCCAACTCTGTGTTCAATGACTTTATATTTGGTTGCTTTAAAATGATGACGATGAGAGTATTTATATCATAGAAATTGGCAAATGCCGTAAGTCAGTTTTTGTTTTTGTTTTTGTTTTCCGGAGAGGGGATTGTTAAATATTTGCCTGCATGCAACACCACTACATGCAGTCTGCTATCTTTTGTTCTTCCTGCTTTCAGGCTCCTCTCCCAGCTGTCTGTCTAGCACAACCCAGCATACCAAATTTTCTTAAATAGGGAAAGTTGAACATGGTAAAAGAATGAATGAAGTCAAAAGAATGTGGAAAGACCTAGGCTTTGCCATTTAGTAAAGTTTAGCATCTCTAAGCCTCCATCTCTTTATCAATAAAATTGAGCAATGATCCCTTTTAGTTCTACCCATTTAAGAAGATTTTCAAATGAAAACCACAACCTGCTCATGTTTATGAAGGCACTTTGGAAAGCGCTAAATACACGGGTTTTTATTAGTAGTAAACACTTACTTCACCTTTTTCACTTCTTGACTTTAGTTTACAAGGGCTCATAATCTAAATTATATCATAAATTGCTGTCCCAGATTTTTTTACAGCCTAATTGCCACCTGTATGTTCGACTTTCCTTCTGTTCTTTATGTTAGATACTGGGATAGTATGCACCAGGTGGGTGTGCCATCACTTTCTCAGATGATGTCCACTGAAGACCTTGCATGATCATGGCATTCATTTTCCTGCTGTATTCAGACTGGCCTCAACTATTTTCTTTATTGCTCTCCAGGAAAAATTACAAATGAATCAGACTGGGCAATGAAGGGTAAACCTAATTATCGCTCTTTGTTAAAGACAGCTCTTGTTAAAATGCGGATATTGCAAATTAATGGAAAAAATATGACATAGTAAACCATACTCACTTATTAATATCTTAGTAAGGAATAATTGATGAAGTTACTTAACCTTAGAGCCCTAATTCAGTTAAGTTTTAATGAAGGACAAGTTGTAGAGATATCGAGAACCCAGGGCAGGTGCCTACTGAAGAAGTTCCAGACCAAGGAAGTATAAAGAAGGACCTGGGTGGGAGCAGTGAGATTGGATATGAGGGCCACTGGCAAAGTTTTGCCCCAGAACAGTGTCAAAATGTTTGCATTTGGCATAGCCCTTTCTCTTTTTGTTCTGAATGGCTTTGCTAGAATATCTTTTCTATAATGAATTTATCCTGCTTCTCAGATATTGCTAAAGCACTCCCTTTTGAATTTTGGTGCTTTAACATGCATTTTGATACATTACCAAATAAGGTCTGAATGACACAAATTTTAGAACTCTCCAGAGAAAAGAAAGATGCTGAGGGAAAAAGCATAGGTTTGGGACTCACTAAATCCCAGTTCAATTCCTTTCTTTAATAAATATATTCAATTTTACCTGAGAAAGCTCTCGTGCTCTCGAATTTTATTTAGAAATTTCTCTTTGTACATGATTGATTTCACAATCCTTCTTCTGCCTCCTCTTCTACTTTCTTCTTTCTAGATTTTCCTATCTTTATGAAGATTATTCTGCCTTATCCTCAACAGTTAGAAACAATATTTTTGAAAATCACTACGGTATCCTGCATAGTGATTTCCCATGCCAACTTTACTAATTTCCATTATAAATTATTATTTATTGATGCCTAGAGGGCAGATGAGTGTAGCTGCTATGGAGTGAGGAGACAAAACATAAGAAAGTTATGATCCTACCCTCAGGTAATGATTCAGACATGATAATTAAGTCAACAAATTGATAGAAACTAATCACTAACTCTCTGGCTATAGTCATTCTTTCAATGAATAGCTCATTACTGAGTATGCATGCTACAGTAACAAAATTATATAAGGCTGTTGATTAAATGTTGATTAAGTGCATGTCTTATTCAGAGTTTTTTTATATTTGAAATGGAAGAGGCTGGACTTCAGTAATTTGCTATAAACTGCTAGTATATGATTATTTGGGGGCAGTTATTTTTTAAAGAATAATTTAAATATGGAATGTTTAGCAGTTTGTTTTTTCCCTGGGAAAAACCATACTATTATTCCCTCCCAATCCCTTTGACAAAGTGACAGTCACATTAGTTCAGAGATATTGATGTTTTATACAGGTGTAGCCTGTAAGAGATGAAGCCTGGTATTTATAGAAATTGACTTATTTTATTCTCATATTTACATGTGCATAATTTTCCATATGCCAGAAAAGTTGAATAGTATCAGATTCCAAATCTGTATGGAGACCAAATCAAGTGAATATCTGTTCCTCCTCTCTTTATTTTAGCTGGACCAGACCAATTTTGAGGAAAGGATACAGACAGCGCCTGGAATTGTCAGACATATACCAAATCCCTTCTGTTGATTCTGCTGACAATCTATCTGAAAAATTGGAAAGGTATGTTCATGTACATTGTTTAGTTGAAGAGAGAAATTCATATTATTAATTATTTAGAGAAGAGAAAGCAAACATATTATAAGTTTAATTCTTATATTTAAAAATAGGAGCCAAGTATGGTGGCTAATGCCTGTAATCCCAACTATTTGGGAGGCCAAGATGAGAGGATTGCTTGAGACCAGGAGTTTGATACCAGCCTGGGCAACATAGCAAGATGTTATCTCTACACAAAATAAAAAAGTTAGCTGGGAATGGTAGTGCATGCTTGTATTCCCAGCTACTCAGGAGGCTGAAGCAGGAGGGTTACTTGAGCCCAGGAGTTTGAGGTTGCAGTGAGCTATGATTGTGCCACTGCACTCCAGCTTGGGTGACACAGCAAAACCCTCTCTCTCTAAAAAAAAAAAAAAAAAGGAACATCTCATTTTCACACTGAAATGTTGACTGAAATCATTAAACAATAAAATCATAAAAGAAAAATAATCAGTTTCCTAAGAAATGATTTTTTTTCCTGAAAAATACACATTTGGTTTCAGAGAATTTGTCTTATTAGAGACCATGAGATGGATTTTGTGAAAACTAAAGTAACACCATTATGAAGTAAATCGTGTATATTTGCTTTCAAAACCTTTATATTTGAATACAAATGTACTCCCTGGGAAGTCTTAAGGTAATGGCTACTGGTTATCAAACAAATGTAAAAATTGTATATTTTTGAGTACCTGTTACATGCCAGGTAGAATATCTCCTCTCAGCCACTCTGAGTGGAAAGCATCATTATCTCTATTTTACAGAAAAGCAAACTGAGGCTCAGAGAGATAATATACTTTGCCAGTTAATGAATGATGGAGCCATGATTCCAGCTGAGGTCTGTATTGCCTTGCTCTCTAGGAATGGTAGTCCCCCCCATAAAGAATCTCTCAGTTTCCTTTCCAATCAAAAGGTTAGGATCCTTTTGATTGCCAGTGACAGAAACCCAATTTACTAGCTTAAGTAAATAAAAGGAACGAATTTATTGGCTCATGAAGCCTGAACTATGTGAAGACCTAGGTGGAGAACTGGCCTTAGGAACTCAATGGGACCAAGGACTCAAATGCCACCTGGTGGCATTTGCCTTATGCTGGTTTTATTTTCTCAGACCGGACCAGCTTTCTACATAAAGTGGGTCCCTGGTTAGAACTCTTTGCTCCTATCTTTAAGGACCACGAAAGAAGGAGCCCTTTGTCCTTGGCTAAATGTGAAAAATCCCAGAGACTCTTGAGTCATAGTGCTTACCCCTTGGGCCACTCATAGTCTAGAATGAACTAGGCTGAGTCTCGTGCCAACAGCACAGGCCTGATGCCAGATAAAAGGGTGAGTGAAGGGGGATAAAAAATAAGACATAGCTACTAAATTATTGCACCAAAGTAAAAACATTGAGTTGACTTGCAATTTGTTTCTTTTAATTAAATTCATTTCCTTTTTTTGGCATTTTGAAGGCAAAGTAAGATATTAAACTTTATTTTTATTGATTTTATTCAAAGAATTAAGCTAGTGGGAGTAGCAGATTCACACTTCTAAGATCAAGGGCCAGCTTCTATTATTGAACACTTGGTGTGTGCAAATGCCATGAGGTAGGGATACTTTGTTTTGTTTTTTATTTTTTATTGGGTTCGATCTCTTTTGTTTATGATGTATCCCCAAGTGCCTAGAATAGGGCCTGGCATATGGTATATACTCAATAAATATTTGTTGAATGAATCCATGATGGAATGTGAAATGGCTAGCATTACATAGAAACCTGTAGCATTGCTGGAGAGATAAAATATATAAACATAATCCATTGCAGGTATATTGACAAGTTCAAAATAATATAATGGGTATTGAATATCTAAATGTTTGTTGTTGTTGTTGCTGTTGTTTTTGAGACAGAGTCTTGCTCTGTTGCCCAGGCTGGAGTGTAATGGTGCAATTTTGGCTCACTGCAAACTTCGTCTCCTGGGTTCAAGTGATTCTCCTGCCTCAGCCTCTCGAGTAGCTGGGTTTACAGGCACTCGCCACAATGCCTGGCTAATTTTTGTATTTTAGTAGATGTGGAGTTTCGCCATGTTGGCCAGGCTGGTCTTGAACTCCTGACCTCAAGTGATCTGCCCACCTTGGCCTCCCAAAATGCTGGGATTATAGGTGTGAGCCACTATGCCCAGCTTTGAATATCTAAGTTTTAATTGGATGCTGAGGGAATGATTAATCAGAGTAGGGCTGGGTTAATTGAAAAATGTGATACATTTGTATTTATGGCCAGATAGAGAACATGAATCTGAATTTGCAGAATTATCTGGCTTAACATTTTTTTCTTTCCAGTTTTCACTGTATCCCCCATGTTGATTCAATTTAAAAAATATACCTATTTTACTTCAATTCAACAATGCTATGCCAGTACAAACCCATACGTTCTATTATTTTTGTTTTGTTTTGTTTTTGTATCTCCACCCTGTTACTTCTTTTCTTATAAAATTGGTATTTGAAATTTATTGAAATATTTTGGAAGAGTGACATACCATTTTTGGTACTTTGTACCTCTGCACCCTTGGGAAGTGACCCTGGCTTCACATTTCATAACTGCCTTGTGACCATGGCCCTCAAGTGGTTGCCAGATGGTTGAAGAACATTAACCTATCTGGCTCAATTTTGTGACCATGGATTGAATCCTCTACATAACTGCAGTGTGCAAACCACACATCCGTTCCAAGATTGTAGTCAGGATATGAACTTTTTAAGAATAAAACTTCTTCCCTTCTGATCTGGGCCTGGTATGTGGTCCTACTAGAACCACATCACCTACTCTTGGTGCTAACAATTTGTGGCACCAAGTTGTTCAAGTTTCACCCATTAAAGAAATTCCCCGACCTTGCCTTCTCCTCAGGTAACTACCCCATTCTATTTTTTCTTTCATAGCTAACATTCTCTGCTCTCCTGGTCTCTCTACTTCACTTTCATTTACATCTCAGCTCCTGAAGTATGGTTTCCACCATGTTCCTAAAACTACATTGCCCAGGGTCACTAGAGACCTCTTATGAAATATAACAACACCTTTCTACATTACTTCCGTGTGGACCACTTTTTCACATTGAACCCATTTTGTTGGTTTATGTACACACCCCTTCCTTGGCTTTCCCATCTGATCCATTTCTCCTTTGATGGAGAAGGTGAGTCTGCTCCATATTTAGCTTCTTACTCTGAGTAACCAAATGTTATGGATGGGAGGTTAGCTCTGTGTGTGAGAGAAAGGTGGAGAAGCATGTGGGGAGGGAAATAGATGGGAAAAGGTAATTAGGCTTTATAGAAGGGCTCTCATTAGCAAGCTTCTAGGGGATGCCAAGATCCATGCTTAGAGATTGCCAGGCTTGTCTTCAAATCTCAGCTGTGTATTACTCCTTTATGTTTTTTGTTTGTTTGTGTTGTTTGTTTTTGAGACAGAGTCTCGCTGTGTCACCCAGGCTGGAGTGTAGTGGTGTGATCTCAGCTCACTGCAAACTCTGCCTCCTGGGTTCAAGCGAATCTCAGTCTCCTGAGTAGCTGGGACTACAGGCATGCACCACCAGGCCTGGCTAATTTTTGTAGAGACGGGGTTTTGCTATGCTGGCCAGGCTGGTCTTGAACTCCTGACCTCAAGTGATCTGCCCGCCTTGGCCTCCCAAAGTGTTGGGATTAGTGGCGTGAGCCACTGCCCCGGCCTATTACTCCTTTAGAGTGATTTAGAGCCATGTTTACTTATGGTAACTTGACAGTAATGGGAATAACCACTGATGAAACGTAAAGCCTTTGTCTAATTGTTTACCTAGTTCTTCCTTGTGGTTCATGAAATTTTTCATCTCTGTACAGTTTGAAAATTAAGATGATAATATTTAGAGATATTTTATTCCTTTGTGAAGAGAAAAAAGGCTTTCATTAACAGAAATCAGTGGCAATAACTTAATAAATACAATCAGCTGGTGTTCCTATAGTATTTAAAAGAAAACAGAAAGTTTACTAGATTTCAGCCAGTTTTCAGACTATTTAATGTCTATTCTTACTATAATAGAAAATATATAATTTGATCTTGTTCTCATTTTTCAAAGACCTTTAATACATGATTTTAGTAGTTGAAAATGAAGTTTAATGATAGTTTATGCCTCTACTTTTAAAAACAAAGTCTAACAGATTTTTCTCATGTTAAATCACAGAAAAAGCCACCTGACATTTTAACTTGTTTTTGATTTGACAGTGAAATCTTATAAATCTGCCACAGTTCTAAACCAATAAAGATCAAGGTATAAGGGAAAAATGTAGAATGTTTGTGTGTTTATTTTTTCCACCTTGTTCTAAGCACAGCAATGAGCATTCGTAAAAGCCTTACTTTATTTGTCCACCCTTTTCATTGTTTTTTAGAAGCCCAACACTTTTCTTTAACACATACAATGTGGCCTTTTCATGAAATCAATTCCCTGCACAGTGATATATGGCAGAGCATTGAATTCTGCCAAATATCTGGCTGAGTGTTTGGTGTTGTATGGTCTCCATGAGATTTTGTCTCTATAATACTTGGGTTAATCTCCTTGGATATACTTGTGTGAATCAAACTATGTTAAGGGAAATAGGACAACTAAAATATTTGCACATGCAACTTATTGGTCCCACTTTTTATTCTTTTGCAGAGAATGGGATAGAGAGCTGGCTTCAAAGAAAAATCCTAAACTCATTAATGCCCTTCGGCGATGTTTTTTCTGGAGATTTATGTTCTATGGAATCTTTTTATATTTAGGGGTAAGGATCTCATTTGTACATTCATTATGTATCACATAACTATATTCATTTTTGTGATTATGAAAAGACTACGAAATCTGGTGAATAGGTGTAAAAATATAAAGGATGAATCCAACTCCAAACACTAAGAAACCACCTAAAACTCTAGTAAGGATAAGTAAAAATCCTTTGGAACTAAAATGTCCTGGAACACGGGTGGCAATTTACAATCTCAATGGGCTCAGCAAAATAAATTGCTTGCTTAAAAAATTATTTTCTGTTATGATTCCAAATCACATTATCTTACTAGTACATGAGATTACTGGTGCCTTTATTTTGCTGTATTCAACAGGAGAGTGTCAGGAGACAATGTCAGCAGAATTAGGTCAAATGCAGCTAATTACATATATGAATGTTTGTAATATTTTGAAATCATATCTGCATGGTGAATTGTTTCAAAGAAAAACACTAAAAATTTAAAGTATAGCAGCTTTAAATACTAAATAAATAATACTAAAAATTTAAAGTTCTCTTGCAATATATTTTCTTAATATCTTACATCTCATCAGTGTGAAAAGTTGCACACCTGAAAATCCAGGCTTTGTGGTGTTTAAGTGCCTTGTATGTTCCCCAGTTGCTGTCCAATGTGACTCTGATTTATTATTTTCTACATCATGAAAGCATTATTTGAATCCTTGGTTGTAACCTATAAAAGGAGACAGATTCAAGACTTGTTTAATCTTCTTGTTAAAGCTGTGCACAATATTTGCTTTGGGGCGTTTACTTATCATATGGATTGACTTGTGTTTATATTGGTCTTTATGCCTCAGGGAGTTAAACAGTGTCTCCCAGAGAAATGCCATTTGTGTTACATTGCTTGAAAAATTTCAGTTCATACACCCCCATGAAAAATACATTTAAAACTTATCTTAACAAAGATGAGTACACTTAGGCCCAGAATGTTCTCTAATGCTCTTGATAATTTCCTAGAAGAAATTTTTCTGACTTTTGAAATAATAGATCCATAATATATATTCTTATGGAAATCTGAAACCATTTGGGCATTTGGGGGTAAAAAGTATTTTATTAGTAAATTTAAATGAGGTAGCTGGATAATTAAATTACTTTTAAGTTACCTTTGAGATGATTTTTCTCAATCAGAGCACCACCCAGAGCTTTGAGAAACAATTTTATTCACAGCTTCTGATTCTATTTGATGTAATTTTTAGAAAATAAGTTTTGCTGGTTGCTTTGAATCAGGGTATGGAGTACAGTTCACTCTGATCCTATCATATAAATCATGTAAGTATATAACATTTTCAATAAGTGATTGTTGGATTGAAGTGAATGATATTTCAAGTAATTGTTATGTCATGGCCAAGATTTCAGTGAAACTCAAAATTTCTCCTGGTTGTGTTCTCCATTGCATGCTGCTTCTATTGATTAACCTAAGCACTACTGAGTAGAAGCTGGAAGAGGGGTCTAATTAGAAGGCCCCTTTCTATGCTCTGCTTGGCTTGTAAAATAATTTATTTCTCTAGATCCCACCAACATAGTAGTTTCATGTATGCAAAAACACCCACCTAAATGTCAAAGTTTGTATGATACATGGACATATCTATAGAATTTTTTTTGGTCTGGTGCATGCCAAAAAATAAACATGATATAGAAGAATTTAATATTTATTGAGTACCTAATCTGTTCCAGTTCAATATGAAGGTCTTTATGCAGATTATTTTACTTAATTTTCCTAGTAACTCCATGGAGCAAAAATTATCTCTAATTTATATAACAGGAAGTTGAGCGTGAGGCAAATTAAGTAACTTTCCCAAAGTTACACATATGGTAAGTTTGAGAGATATCCCAGTCTCTTTAGCTCCAAAGCCTTTGACCCTTTCACCATACCAGATTATGATTGCTATTAATATATAATTATAATTATAATGATTGTATTTAGGTACTCAACAGAATGGTGACTCTAGTAACCAGCCTTGGTTCTGCTGAGCTTCTCTGCGTCTTCTCAGGAGACACAGGCTACAGAGCTTGAAGGCTGAGGATTCTTCCAGGGTCACTTCAGGGGCAAATCTGAAACTTTCTTCAGGACAGGAATCAACGAGATCTTCTCACTTACTTATACCTGGGGGAGGAACTGTATGAAATCCACCCAAGAACCAGTCATGCTAAGGGCCAAACCTATAGACAAAAAAAGGGATAGGAGAATGGAGTATGTATGGAGAAAGACTAAATTGTTCTTAAACTTCTCAAGCTTAAAAATATCCCAGCAAAAGAGATCGTAAAAGCCCTTCATGGCGTATTAATTATCCATGCATGGGGGTGAGTGGAAAGGTACTCCTGAGCCCGAGGCTACAGCTTTGGAACTAGCAGCACCTTTGAAGGGGAAAGCGTGTTTCCATCATCTCAACTCCTACTGATAACCAATGGAATATTGGTGAGTAAAGGATCCTGGGGGAAGAAGCAGCTGAAATGTGTAGGTGAGAAGGCAGAGAGAAGAATATTTATATTGGGAATGGCACAAGTGTGATGAGGCTGCAGGTTTTTCACCCTTGTCATAGAGAAAAAACCACGCTGACACCATGCAGTTTTAAATAGTGAGAAATTTGCAAATTGTTAGATCTTAAATAATTTAGATAAACATAGTGGCCATTTAGATTATTGCAGTTTTTTCAGGATATCTGATCTCTTGATTTCATTCTTTTTGTCTCTTATAAGAATAAAAGGGGGGGAGAAAATTTAGCCATTATAGTATTTCTCTACATTTTCTCTGTCCTTTTACATAACTTACACCAGTGCCTTCCTATTTATGGTATTATTTATGGGTATTTCTTCTTTTCTTTCACTGAGCAAGGATAAATGAGCCAGGGATTCTTGAAACTACTGTAACACTTCTCTTAGAAATAGATGGTCATACTTTCAGAATCTCTACACATTCTTAGTCCCTCTAAACAATGATAGTTGTGGCATAAAAATATTTGCTTGGTTTCAGGACTGATAGAGAAAAGTACTATAAAATTTGCTGTTAACTGTGAAAGGTTAAAAAAAAGGAGGTGCCATCATGAAGGAGCTAATCTTTCTGAAGTACTGCTGTAGTTTTAAATATTATTAGCTATGACTTCTCACCATTAACTATGCACTTGCTTTTTCTTCATCTGACTCAGCAGCCAGATAGATGCAACATTGTCTTTAACATTTAAGACTCCTAGCAAGTCCGGGCACGGGGGCTCACACCTGTAATCCCAGCACTTTGGGAGGCCGAGGTGGGCAAATCACAAGGTCAGGAGTTTGAGACCAGCCTGGCCAATATGGTGAAACCCTGTCTCTACTAAAAGTACAAAAATCAGCCAGGTGTGGTGGCGTGGTGGCGGGCACCTGTGGTCCCAGCTACTTGGGAGGCTGAGGCAGGAGAATAGCTTGAACCTGGGAGGCAGAGGTTGCAGTGAGCTGAGATCGCACCACTGCACTCCAGCCTGGGTGACAGAGCGAGACTCCATCTCAAAAAAAAAAAAAAAAAAAAAGACTCCTAGCATGGAAGAGAAACTGGCTGTTGAAAACCTGAATGTGAGAGTCAGTCAAGGATAGTTTGAGGGAAGCCAAGTAGAGGAAGCTCTCACAAGCAGATTGGTGAGAGAATATGATTATACAATGCATTTATTATGATAAGAAATTCACAAGCATTCATTCAAAATACTCTTGATTCCTAGGCAGCTCTGGGCATATTTCCACCAACAAATTGAGGCATATGTCAGTGCAGCCTAGGTCAGACTACCTTTTTTCATTAAACCTCACAAAATTAAAGGACATACAGGAGAAGTCCTGGTACTCATGTTGCAGACTACAGTCTATATGGCAAAGGAGGATCTCTGTCCCTTATGTTTGGATGAAAACATTGGGTAGGCATTTGAATACAAGCCTACTGCTAATATGGGGCTAAGGTCTTTGGCCCCCTAAAGGTTTGCTGAAATATTACTGACAGGAGGCAGATTGATAAGAGGAAAAGCACATAAATGTATTTGACATGTATACATGGGAGCCTTCAGGATGAAGACCTACCCTCTCAGTGCAGTATGGAAGCTTGTATACCATCTTGAGGTTACAGAAAGAATGGGGGTTTGGATCTTTGTAAAACAGGTTTCAGTGGCAAGACAGGTTATGAGAAGGAGAAAGGAAGAGACTTGGGTAGCAAAGGGGGTCTTGTTTTGTAGGTAAATCGTTGGCAGCCCACAGAGAAAATAGATGGAGAATGTTTCTTTTCAGACCTTGGCAGGTGTCAGATTCTCAGTTAATCTCTCCTAGATTTGAAAAAAAAAAAAAAGGTCTAGAAAGGGAGAGCCTGGCTGCACTAACACATTTTCTACAGATGCAAATTTCTCCCACAAAATACAGCTTTGCAGGTCCACTTCTATCTGCTGGGCCTGTGGCAACCATTTCAAAATATGTGAATGAAATATATGTGGGGGTAAACTATTTTTATTTACTTCCCTAAAGAAGGGATGGTGTTCTCTCGGGAATTCTGTGCATAGAGAGCCTGTGGCTTAGGCACTTTGATTTATGTATATCTCTTCCTGTGATTGGCTATCTAGGGACTGCTATCTCCAGCAAATCTTCTAAATGTCTGCCATGTAGAATTCCTTTCTCATCTTTCTGTCTCACCCCCTTATCTAGCTGCTTCTCTAACCCTAGAGTGACACTGCACTCCCCACAATCTCCTATGTCCTGAATATTTTACCCCATCCTAAACTCCATCTCTAACACAGATGCACTTTCTTGTGCTGCCTACTGCATTGTACATCTTCCCCTTAGTTCCCATGATGCAACTCTGCCCTACCCCAGAAAATGTAATTTAATTGGTCTGGGATAAAACCTGGGACACTATCATTCTTGAAATATTCCCCAAGCGATTCTAATTATATAGCCAAAGTTGAGAACTATTTGTAGACAGGCATCAGCATGATCACTTAATGATTTGACTTTTGCTAGATCTAAGGTGAGGAAATTGGAGAGTGGTATCCATAGGAAGAACTGTTTAGTTTAATTTTTTTTTTATTTTTTCTTCTAAAAAAAAATCCAACAACGAGATACATGTGCGGAACATGCAGGTTTGTTACATAGGTATAATGTGCCATGGTAGTTTGTTGCACCTATTGACCCATCCTCTAAGTTCCCTCCCCTACTCCTTACTTCCCAACAGGCCCTGGTGTATGTTGTTCCCCTCTCTGGGTCCACCTGTTCTCAATGTTCAACTCCCTTTTACGAGTGAGAACACATGGTGTTTGATTTTCTGTTCCTGTGTTAATTTGCTGAGGATGATAGTTTCCAGCTTCATCCACGTCCCTGCAAAGGACATGATCTCATTCCTTTTTATGGCTGCATAGTATTCCATGATGTATATGTACCACATTTTCTTTATCCAGTCTGTCATTGATGGGCATTTGGGTTGGTTCCATGTCTTTGCTATTGTAAATAGTTCTGCAGTAAACATATATGTCCATGTGTCTTTATAGTAGAATGATTTATATTACTTTGGGTATATACCCAGTAATGAGATTGCTGGGTCAAATGGCATTTCTGGTTCTAGATACTTGAGGAATCGCCACACTGTCTTCCACAATGGTTGAACTAATTTACACTCCCACTAACAGTGTAAAAGCGTTCCTATTTCTCCACAGCCTCACCAGCATCTATTGTTTCCTAACATTTTAATAACTGCTATTCTGACTGGCATGAGATGGTATCTCATTGTGGTTTTGATTTGCATTTATCTGATGATCAGTGATGCTGAGATTTTTAAAATATGTTTGTTGGCCATGTAAATGTCTTTTGTGAAGTGTCTGTTCATATCCTTTGCCCACCTTAATAGGGTTTTTTTTTTCTTGTGAATTTGTTTAAGTGCCTTGTAAATTCTGGAAATTAGATCTTTGTCAGATGGATAGATTGCAAAAATTTTCTCCCATTTTGTAGGTTGCCTGTTCACTCTGATGATAGGTTCTTTTGCTGTGCAGAAGCTCTTTAGTTTAATTAGATCCAATTTGTCAATTTTGGCTTTTTTTGCAATTGCTTTTGGCATTTTCCTCGTGAAGTCTTTGCCCGTGCCTATGTCCTGAATGGTATTGCGTAGGTTTTCTTCTAGGGTTTTTATAGTTTTGGGTTTTACATTTAAGTCTTTAATACATCTTGAGTTAATTTTTGTATAAGGTATAAGGAAGGGGTCCAGTTTCAGTTTTATGCATAATGGCTAGGCAGTTTTCCCACCACCATTTACTGAATAGGAGATCTTTTCCTCATTGCTTGTTTTTGTCAGATTTGTCGAAGATCAGATGGTTGTAGATGTGTGGTGTTATTTCTGAGGTCTCTGTTCTGCACCATTGGTCTATATGTCTGTTATCGTACCAGTCCCATGCTGTTTTGGTTACCGTAGCCTTGTAGTATATTTTGAAGTCTGGTAGCGTGATGCCTCCAGCTTTGTTCTTTTTGCTTAGGATTGTCTTGGCTATATGGAGTCTTCTTTGATTCCATATGAAATTTAAAATAATTTTTTTTTATTCTGTGAAGAATGTCAATGGTAGTTTGATGGGAATAGCATTGAAATTATAAATTACTTTGGGCAGTATAGCCATGTTCACAATATTGATTCTTTCTATCCGTAAGGACGACACTTTTTCCATTTGTTTGTGTTCTCTCTTATTTCCTTGAGCAGTGGTTTGTAGTTCTCCTTAAAGAGGTCTTTCACATCCTTTGTTAGCTGTGTTCCTAGGTATTTTGTTCTCTTTGTAGTGATTGTGAATGGGAATTCATTCTTGATTTGCCTCTCTGCTGCCTGTTGTTGGTGTAAACAAAATTCATTTCTTGTTCTTATTTGTGAAATTTTGGAACCAAATCTATTTTCAAATTAGAAATTGCTTGTGATAATGGTTTTGCAACTTAGACTGGATATGAGACGATGAGATATTAGTTCTTTCATTCCTTTGTAGGAATATGGTGCATCTTGCATTATTTTAGCTAACTAGTGTCCTTTAATGACTAATGAATATGACATGGTGAAACAAAGTAAAATATATATGATGCACTAAGTATGCATTGTTTCCAAAGGTTCAGCATTTTTTTTTTGTTAACTCTGCTGGGATCTGCTTTATGCACTGATAACATAACTTATTTTATGATCTTAAGCAAATAAAAACACTTATCTGGACCTCAGTTTCCTTAACTGTACAACTGAGGGAAACTGTATAGTATAGCTATAGTACAGTATACCATCTTTACCGTCACTTCCATCTTTTAAATTATGTGTATATAAGATAGGGCCTAGATAAATGGTATTTATCTTAAATTACAGTGATACTAGCTTATAACTTAATTTGCTAGGTCATGTTGAACTGATAACAATGTGTGAACTGATGAGCAACTGAGAAGTAACCAGGTTGTGTTATAACAGTTTGTTTTTGATTTAGGGTTATCAGTGAGGGTGGCGGTGGGGAGGGGACTTTGGAGTCTAACTGTCTAGTTCAAATATTAGTTTTTGTTTATTTTTATTTTTAATTTTTGTGGGTACATAGTAGATGTATATATTTATGGGGTACATGTGATGTTTTCATATAGGCATGCAATGTGAAATAAGCACATCATAGAGAATGGGGTATCCATCCCCTCAAACACTTATCTTTTGAGTTACCAACAATCCAATGACACTCTTTAAGTTATCAAATCACAGTTTTGCCAGCTACTAGCCATGTGATTTTGGGTAGGTTACTTAAATTCTCTTCATCTCAATTTCATTATTGTAAAGTGGAGATAATGATAGCACATTTTTTCTTTTTCTTTTTTCTTTTATTTTTTATTATTATACTTTAAGTTGTGTGATACATGTGCAGAATGTGCAGGTTTGTTACATAGGTATCAACAACTCTATAAAACATGTTCTATCCAGGAAAAGAAACTATCATCAGAGTGAACAGGCAACTTACGGAATGGGAGAAAATGTTTGCAATCTAGATGGCGATTGCAATGGCGGTTCGCTGCATCCATCAGCCCATCATCTACATTAGGTATTTCTCCTAATGCTATCCCTCCCCTTGCTCCCCACCCCCTCACAGGCCCCTGTGTGTGATGTTCCCCTCCCTGTGTCCATGTGTTCTCATTGTTCAACTCCCACTTATGAGTGAGAACATGTGGTGTTTGGTTTTCTGTTCTTGTGTTAGTTTGCTGAGAATGATGGTTTCCAGCTTCATCCATGTTCCTGCAAGGACATGAACTCATCCTTTTTTATGGCTGTATAGTATTCCATGGTATATATG
Organism: Homo sapiens; assembly: GCF_000001405.40. NCBI lineage: Eukaryota > Metazoa > Chordata > Mammalia > Primates > Hominidae > Homo > Homo sapiens. The sequence goes on from NC_000007.14 coordinate 117,517,428, forward strand.
TGCCACATTTTCTTTATCCAGTCTATCATTGGTGGACATTTGGGTTGGTTCCAAGTCTTTGCTATTGTGAACGCTGCAGCAATGAACATACATAAGCATATGTCTTTCTAGTCAAATAAGTTATAATCCTTTGGGTATGTACCCAGTAATGGGATTGCTGGGTCAAATGGTATTTCTGGTTCTAGATTCTTGAGGAATCGCCACACTGTCTTCCACAATGGTTGAATTAATTTACACTCCCACCAACAGTGTAGAAGCATTCCTATTTCTCCACATCCGCTCCAGCATCTGTTGTTTCCTGACTTTTTAATGATCACCATTCTAACTGGTGTGAGATGGTATCTCATTGTGGTTTTGATTTGCATTTCTCTAATGACTAGTGATGATGAGCTTCTTTTCATGTTTGTTGGCTGCATAAATGTCTTCTTTTGAGAAGTGTCTGTTCATATCCTTTCCCCACTTTTTGATGGGGTTGTTTTTTTCCTGTAAATTTGTTTAAGTTCCTTGTAGATTTTGGATATTAGCCCTTTGTCAGGTGGATAGATTGCAAACATTTTCTCCCATTCTGTAAGTTGCCTGTTCACTCTGATGATAGTTTCTTTTGCTGGATAGAACATGTTTTATAGAGTTGTTGTGAGAATTAAATGCATTAAGCACATAGAATAGATTCTGGTACATAGCAAGTGCTCTCTCTATATATGGAACTCTATATGTAGTTGGTGCAAAAGTAATTGTGGTTTTCACCATTGAAAGTAATGGCAAAGACCATCATTACCTTTTCACCAATTTAAATATATGGAAGGAATATATATATAAAACCTATATATATATGTCACATATATGTCTCTAACCCATTATTATAATATATAATACAATATATATTATAATTATAATTGTATATAACATATGTTATATAATAATATAGTAATATTTATTCTAAATAAATATATAATACTATAAATAATATAATAATTTATATATATGATTATAATATATAATAGGCTATATTATATATTATTAACATATACATATGTGTATATATATGTCTTTCATAGACTTAAATATATAGAGCAATAATAGGTTAGAAAATAGCAAACATGTATATATAAACATATATACATATAGAAAACATATATAAAAACATATATATATATATATATATGTGTGTTTTCTGCCTTTCATTTTTAGAGACAGGGTCTCATCATGTTGCCCAGGCTGGTCTCAAACTCCTGGGCTCAAGTGATCCTACTGCTTTGGACTCCCGAAGTGCTGGGATTTCAGACATGAGACACTGCACCCAGTCCAGTCCCTGTCTTTTTAAATAGACTCTCTACCTAAGTGCACAAATACTCATTATTTACATTTAGTTATTTCTGTATATATGCTATAAGCAAATCTTGTAGCACCAGTTTGATTTTTATAAGGCACAAGAATATATTTTACTAATGCTTTAAAATGGCAGCTAGATTCTAGTATTACTTTAGAAATTAAAATTAATATTTTAACACATCTTTCATTATTGTGTTATCTGAACCAAACCTATTATTGCTGCTATTTCAGCAAATCCAGGGGCTTTTTCTTATAAAATATGAAGAATATAGCTTAGATTTCTAGTGAAGATGTTACCAGTAATAATTAATAAAATCAGTAAGCACTAAAAGGAAAATACCAAAACTAAAGCATTTTGAATTAGTCATTGAATCTAAAAGAAAGGTAGATTTTTTTCTGAGATTCTGTTCTAGGTGTGGTATATGTGTATTTTTGCAAAAACTATAAACAATTGTGGCAAAATGAAGGAAATATTTAAAAACAAACCTCTTAATTCTTCAGTGGATTAAGCGTGAATATGTTTTTATTTTCTATGATGAATATGGAAAAATTCATTTCCTTAGCAATTTGTATGAGCCCAAAAACTATTGTCAGACTCTGCTGTATCAAAATAGACAAAAAATTGACACTCACTTTTACCCTGCCAAAAGCAAAATCTTAAACTTTTGCTTTAGTATATAAGCCAGCATTCATTGTATCCTATGATGGGTTCTGAGTGTAGGTGTATTTGCTTTCTTCCATTTTTTGTATGCATGTTTTCTTTTTATTTATTATTGTAAGTTGTATGAAATTTTTATCCAAATTTTTATTTTCTTCTGATTAATAATCAGAATAATCAGATAATTACTGGTAAATTTGATGTTAATCCTTCCAGCTTTTTCCCATGGGAATTTATACTTAATAAAGGGGAGAAGTCATCATTACATAATGTGCATATTAATCTGCTTCTCCCTTTAATGTGTTGTGAATGCCTTTCCATGTCATTAGATGTTTTTCTACCTAGTTACTTTCATGAATCATATGGCTGTACCATGATTTATTTAATCAGTTCCTCATCATTGAGTATGTAAATTGCCTCCATTTTTTTATTACTATAAAAGGTCCTTCAGTACACACCCCTTTAAAAGCTGACTCTTAGAAGGTGTTCTTGACTCTCTACCTAAGTGTAAAAATACAAATAAATTGCTTTCCAGAAAAGGTGCACTACTATTTTACTTTCCTGATACTAAACTATGAAAATTCAGTCCTAACAATAGATATTTAAATAAAGTTTTAAAAATGCCAAGTGAAAAAGAGCATATTATTATTTTCATTTGCATTACTTTTGGTTCCTGGTGAGTTTAATCTGTTTTTGTATATTAATTATGCATTTATATTTCTTTTTGTGTGTGTGAATTGCCTTTCATGTTCTTTGTGTGTTTTTATTTTGTTGTATTTGTCTCTTTCTTGATATATGAGAGAATATTTTCCCTAGCCTGTCAATTGCCTTGTAATTTTGTTTCTAGTGAGTTTTTTTTTTTTTTTTTACAATTAAAAGCTTTAATTTTTGAAAATTTTGCTGGCAAATCTATATATCTTTTTCTTTGTTTTCTGCTTTGACATTATTCTTTTATAAAGGCCCATGCCACCCAAATATTATGTAAGCATGCATCTATGTTTTTATTACTTCATCTTTTACATTTAAATATCTACTCTATTTAGAATTCATTGTGATGCATGTATGAGGTAGAAATCTAATTTCAAAAAGATGAGTATCCAGTTTGTCCATCATTTATTGCATGATCTCTTTCTCCACTGAATTAAAATGCCGTATTTTATAATATATTAAAGTATTACATGTGCTTGGACATGTTCCTGGACTTTTGAGATAAATCAGTCTATTTCTTTGTCATGTCACATATTATTATGGCTTTATGATTTAATATCCAGTAATGTAAACCCTCTGACACATTATTCTTATTCCTCAAATGTTTTTGATGAGTTTTCTTCCAAATGAAATTTATAATCATTTTATTCATTGATTCAACAAATATTTGTTGAATGGATATTCTGTGCTTGGTATTGTGCATGGTATTAGGATTGTTGCAAAAATTGAGACTGACAGTCCCTACTCTTACGGTGCTAAAAATTCACTTCCAAAAAAATCTTTAAATGTTGATGAAGATTGCACTAATCTTATAAAATAACTTGGAGGGGAATGTAATCTTTGCAACATTAAGTTCTTCATTTTAGAAAGTTTTAAGACTCTCCATTTATTTGAGACTTTTAAAATATGTCCCAATAATGTTTTGTGAGATGTATATTTTAAGATATATATCTTATTGCTATTACATTGTATCTTTTGTTATATTGTTACTATGAATGGGATACTCATTTAATTAGATGTCATTTTTGGTATATAGAAATCTATTTTCTTAGCATAGTCATTTTTTAAACCTCGATCTATTAAATTCTTGATTCATTTACATTTGTTACACAATCATATTCTATGCTGATAATACTTCTTGCTTCTTTCCAATATTTGTACCTCGATCATTTTTCTTGTTGAGTTGTATTAGCTAGAAGTTCTAGAAAAATGTTAAATGGTAGTAATAGCTAGTATTCTGTTTTTTCCTGACTCTAAATGTAATGCATCTAGACTTTTATAATTATGGCATTGATTGTAACATTTTGAGGAAGAAATCCTTTTTCAGGTTAATAATGTATCTTTATATTCAAGTTTATTAAGAACATTTATTGGAAACATATTGAAATTTTATCAGATTCCTTTTCAGTTGTTACTGAGATAATCATAGGTTCTTCTGTATTCTTTTAATTAATTTCTCAAAATTAAACTGTCCTATTATTCTTGGAATAACGACATATAAAGTACTGTATATTTAAAAGAAGTTAAAATGATAATGGTGATTTTATTAAGTGACCTCACACAATAGAAAACAGTGTAGCCTTAGAAGTTTTCCAAGTGACCATTCTACTTAGAAACAACCCTGCTTTGGGATCAGAACTGTAATTTTTAAAGTAAAGTTTTCTGGGTTTAATTCATTTAGTGTAATTACAAGCATGAGTTCAGGTTTCTATTTTTTTCACCTGAACTTTCCTTCATGGTTTGAATATCTAGAAAAAGCAGACTTTCCTATCTCTAGACTAAACATTTGATCCTATCTTAGGTATGCATTACAATTTTTTAACCATAAATGGTTAAAGAATTTAGACTCATCTACAATAACTTTGAAGCTCTGGTCTTGAAGAACATGTGAGAAATGAGATATAACTCCTAGAAGATATAGGAGACATTTTTAGTCTTCCAAATTTTCCCTGGGAGGCTGATCTAAATTGAGTCACAAAATTGTTCCCACCAGGAATGCAATCACTTGAGCTGTTTTCTAATCTGAGCCCCTCTACCCAGATGATCTTCTGAACTCATACTGTTCAGACTTTCATCCTTCTGAGTAGAAAACAGCCATAGTCATGGCAGGATGAGGGCTAGGACAATTACCCAAGGAATTCTTGGCCTCTGCCATGGGACTCTGCAGACTCAGATCATATAATCAGAGATGTTAGCACTGGAGGGGACATCACAATTAGCTTTCTCCACCTCTTAGTTTATCAGTGAGGAAAACTGTCCAGAGCGCGGAAGAGACTAAAATAACACAGCCAATGTAGGTAATGTGCTGGATAAGAATTTGGAATTCACGATTTTGAATTCAGTGTTTATTTCACCATCACGCTGGCTTACACGTTGGTATCAGGCTTCTTCTATTATTGAAGTGAGCCATTAAGTGAATTCCATCTTGATTTGTGTCTGATACAGAGTAATAAACTATTTTATTAAATATCCAAATAATTATACATTCCTCCTTCTTACATGCAAGCCTAAGTTTGCTTGTACTATTTCATGTGGTAGCAAATCAGGACGCTTCTTGTGTCTCTGAAAATACTCTGAGTAATGGAGTACAGTCAGCTTTCTTGTACCAAGAATATAGGGACTATGTTTCTCCCAGTCATTCTGGGGATAATTTTTGTGAAGGATTGCACTTCATAGGTTAAGCTAGGTATCAGTTACCAGTGTTTTTTCCAAATAAAAAAAAAATCAGGTGATATCTGTAAATGGTTCCATTGTAAATATTAAAGAACATGATGCTTAAAACAGATTAGGGAAAACTATAGAAGGGGTGGGGTTTCGGAGTGCTAATTTTGTCCTTGAATGGTAACAGCTCCATGTGGTGGTGAGGTTTATGTTGGTTTGCTGTTTGCAGATGATCTTATTATTAGAATTTTTCATACCGAAAATAAACTGCATTTTAGTTTGTAAACATGCCCTTCCAGAGTAATGCTACCAGTTCTTTGTGAAATAGCTACTGTTGTTCAAAGGATGACTATGTCCTCTTCGGTTGAGGAAAGATGACAACAAACTCAGTAATGACATGTAAAATAGGTATTACAAACCAGGTATGGTGGCATGAGCCTGTAATCCCAGCTACTTGAGAGGCTAAAGCAGGAGGATCTGTTGATCTATGGATTTGAGGCTGTAGTGTGTTGTGATGGCACCTATGAATAGCCCTTGCACTCCAGCCCAAGCAACAAAGCAAGACTGTCTCTGAATTTTTGTTTTGTTTTGTTTTTTGTTTTTTTTTTTTTGAGACAGAGTCTTGCTCTGTCACCCAGGCTGAAGTGCAGTGGCGCGATCTCCACTCACTGCAAGCTCCGCCTCCTGGGTTCACGCCATTCTCCTGCCTCAGCCTCCCGAGTAGCTAGGACTACAGGCGCCCGCCTCCACGCCCAGCTAAATTTTTTGTATTTTTAGTAGAGACGAGGTTTCACTGTGTTAGCCAGGACGGTCTTGATCTCCTGACCTTGTGATCCTCCTGCCTCGGCCTCCCAAAGTGCTGGGATTACAGGCGTGAGCCACCGCGCCCGGCCCCTGTCTCTGAATTTTTTAAAAAGGCATTCCACTCAAATTAATACACATTTTAATTGTGTTTTGTTGTAAATTACAACTGAATAAAAATTCAGCAAATAAGTCTGTTGTGGTAGGGAAAAGTCTATTGTGATCTGGAAAATATAATGGAGAAATCCAGTGGAAGAGATTTTATTTCACATTACTCAAAATAAAAAAATCTTATACAAGTCTTTACACTTGTAACTTGAAAAATTCTGTGCTAAAATTTAGCTTGGTTGCTAAAATATTTCTCTTTTTTTCTCAGAAGCTTCTTTTTAGCATCCTATAGACACAAGTTACTTTTTAAAATATTTGCATACTTGCTTTGCAATGTATTGTTTATCAGTAGTTCTATATTCTTTGAGATAGTCTATCCAGTCTTTCTGTATTTATCGTATGTCTGTATAGATATATATTAGCAGATAAATGAGTTCTGAAAGGGGAGAAATGTGATTATGCTAATCATGATATAAAGAATTGACTTTATAAGCAGTGTTCACAGGTCATACCTTTCCCGTTACTGTCTTACAGTGAACAAGAAATGATGCTTTGTCTGGTATGCATGGTAAATAATGCCCCTTGCTCTCTGCTTCATGATCACATGTGATACTTCTAACATAGATAGCACATGTAAATCCAGTGGCCTTGACTGCAACTCAAGAGAGCATTTTGGCCAAGTACAAACCCACTAGTCATGAAAAAAAAAAAAAAACCAAATCAAAGTAAATTGATGGTATTGACATTTGTCTATGAAAAACAACATAATATAGAACAATTCTGGGGTAAAATATTGATCTAAAATAATTTTAAGGATTAAATATTGCCATTGTAAGCATACTATGAGCAATTATGTTTGTAATGCAGATATATTTATAATTTTAAATCCAAGATTTACCTTAATTGTACATTTTCCTAATTTAAAAAAGTTATTTTGAAAAAAAAATCCTCGAATCTAGAGAAAGGTTGGCAAATACATATGGAACTTTGTAAAAAACATCCAGGGCAGCACTTTCACTGATTGCAGTAGCTTAGGAGTGAAAAACAACACAACTGCTCCAATGTATGGCAATGGGCAAATATCCCGATTTATTCACAGGGTGGCATGTTAGGCAGTGCTTAGAATAAATGAGTTGGTTATACAAGTATCAATAGGGATAAATGTGAAAAACACAGTGTTAAGTTTTTAAAAAGTTGTAAAAAGCACAGTAGGATGTTATTTATATAAAATTTAAAAACCTCAAAAACCATTCTTCTTTGATATATATTCTAAAGATGAACATATATGTAATAGAAGTACAAAACATACATAAAATAATATACACTATGCAGTCATTTGTGTACTTACTTTTCAAAAATATTTCAGTAGATATAGCAAACAGTTAACATGTAATATTTGGATAGGAGGTTGGCAATTTTCTTTTTAGCACCTGCCTGTCTGCTATCATTCAAACTCACATTTAAAATGTGGCTATGTGAGATGAGAGAACTATAATATTCCAGGTTTGTGATTAGTTTGGAAACTTTTTAAAAGTTTGAATGTGGTCTGAGAGATAGTTTGTTATAATTTCTGTTCTTTTACATTTGCTGAGGAGAGCTTTACTTCCAACTATGTGGTCAATTTTGGAATAGGTGTGGTGTGGTGCTGAAAAAAATGTATATTCTGTTGATTTGGGGTGGAGAGTTCTGTAGATGTCTATTAGGTCTGCTTGGTGCAGAGCTGAGTTCAATTCCTGGGTATCCTTGTTGACTTTCTGTCTCGTTGATCTGTCTAATGTTGACAGTGGGGTGTTAAAGTCTCCCATTATTAATGTGTGGGAGTCTAAGTCTCTTTGTAGGTCACTCAGGACTTGCTTTATGAATCTGGGTGCTCCTGTATTGGGTGCATAAATATTTAGGATAGTTAGCTCCTCTTGTTGAATTGATCCCTTTACCATTATGTAATGGCCTTCTTTGTCTCTTTTGATCTTTGTTGGTTTAAAGTCTGTTTTATCAGAGACTAGGATTGCAACCCCTGCCTTTTTTTGTTTTCCATTGGCTTGGTAGATCTTCCTCCATCCTTTTATTTTGAGCCTATGTGTGTCTCTGCACGTGAGATGGGTTTCCTGAATACAGCACACTGATGGGTCTTGACTCTTTATCCAATTTGCCAGTCTGTGTCTTTTAATTGGAGCATTTAGTCCATTTATATTTAAAGTTAATATTGTTATGTGTGAATTTGATCCTGTCATTATGATGTTAGCTGGTGATTTTGCTCATTAGTTGATGCAGTTTCTTCCTAGTCTCGATGGTCTTTACATTTTGGCATGATTTTGCAGTGGCTGGTACTGGTTGTTCCTTTCCAGGTTTAGCGCTTCCTTCAGGAGCTCTTTTAGGGCAGGCCTGGTGGTGACAAAATCTCTCAGCATTTGCTTGTCTATAAAGTATTTTATTTCTCCTTCACTTATGAAGCTTAGTTTGGCTGGATATCTCTCAGACCACAGTGCAATCAAACTAGAACTCAGGATTAAGAATCTCACTCAAAGCCGCTCAACTACATGGAAACTGAACAACCTGCTCCTGAATGACTACTGGGTACATAACGAAATGAAGACAGAAATAAAGATGTTCTTTGAAACCAACGAGAACAAAGACACCACATACCAGAATCTCTGGGATGCATTCAAAGCAGTGTGTAGAGGGAAATTTATAGCACTAAATGCCTACAAGAGAAAGCAGGAAAGATCCAAAATTGACACCCTAACATCACAATTAAAAGAACTAGAAAAGCAAGAGCAAACACATTCAAAAGCTAGCAGAAGGCAAGAAATAACTAAAATCAGAGCAGAACTGAAGGAAATAGAGACACAAAAAACCCTTCAAAAAATCAATGAATCCAGGAGCTGGTTTTTTGAAAGGATCAACAAAATTGATAGACCGCTAGCAAGACTAATAAAGAAAAAAAGAGAGAAGAATCAAATAGACACAATAAAAAATGATAAAGGGGATATCACCACCAATCCCACAGAAATACAAACTACCATCAGAGAATACTACAAACACCTCTACGCAAATAAACTAGAAAATCTAGAAGAAATGGATACATTCCTCGACACATACACTCTCCCAAGACTAAACCAGGAAGAAGTTGAATCTCTGAATAGACCAATAACAGGCTCTGAAATTGTGGCAATAATCAATAGTTTACCAACCAAAAAGAGTCCAGGACCAGATGGATTCACAGCCGAATTCTACCAGAGGTACAAGGAGGAACTGGTACCATTCCTTCTGAAACTATTCCAATCAATAGAAAAAGAGGGAATCCTCCCTAACTCATTTTATGAGGCCAGCATCATTCTGATACCAAAGCCGGGCAGAGACACAACCAAAAAAGAGAATTTTAGACCAATATCCTTGATGAACATTGATGCAAAAATCCTCAATAAAATACTGGCAAACCGAATCCAGCAGCACATCAAAAAGCTTATCCACCATGATCAAGTGGGCTTCATCCCTGGGATGCAAGGCTGGTTCAATATACGCAAATCAATAAATGTAATCCAGCATATAAACAGAGCCAAAGACAAAAACCACATGATTATCTCAATAGATGCAGAAAAAGCCTTTGACAAAATTCAACAACCCTTCATGCTAAAAACTCTCAATAAATTAGGTATTGATGGGACGTATTTCAAAATAATAAGAGCTATCTATGACAAACCCACAGCCAATATCATACTGAATGGGCAAAAACTGGAAGCATTCCCTTTGAAAACTGGCACAAGACAGGGATGCCCTCTCTCACCGCTCCTATTCAACATAGTGTTGGAAGTTCTGGCCAGGGCAATCAGGCAGGAGAAGGAAATAAAGGGTATTCAATTAGGAAAAGAGGAAGTCAAATTGTCCCTGTTTGCAGACGACATGATTGTTTATCTAGAAAACCCCATCGTCTCAGCCCAAAATCTCCTTAAGCTGATAAGCAACTTCAGCAAAGTCTCAGGATACAAAATCAATGTACAAAAATCACAAGCATTCTTATACACCAACAACAGACAAACAGAGAGCCAAATCATGAGTGAACTCCCATTCACAATTGCTTCAAAGAGAATAAAATACCTAGGAATCCAACTTACAAGGGATGTGAAGGACCTCTTCAAGGAGAACTACAAACCACTGCTCAAGGAAATAAAAGAGGACACAAACAAATGGAAGAACATTCCATGCTCATGGGTAGGAAGAATCAATATCGTGAAAATGGCCATACTGCCCAAGGTAATTTACAGATTCAATGCCATCCCCATCAAGCTACCAATGACTTTCTTCATAGAATTGGAAAAAACTACTTTAAAGTTCATATGGAACCAAAAAAGAGCCCGCATCGCCAAGTCAATCGTAAGCCAAAAGAACAAAGCTGGAGGCATCACGCTACCTGACTTCAAACTATACTACAAGGCTACAGTAACCAAAACAGCATGGTACTGGTACCAAAACAGAGATATAGATCAATGGAACAGAACAGAGCCCTCAGAAATAACGCCGCATATCTACAACTATCTGATCTTTGACAAACCTGAGAAAAACAAGCAATGGGGAAAGGATTCCCTATTTAATAAATGGTGCTGGGAAAACTGGCTAGCCATATGTAGAAAGCTGAAACTGGATCCCTTCCTTACACCTTATACAAAAATCAATTCAAGATGGATTAAAGATTTAAACGTTAGACCTAAAACCATAAAAACCCTAGAAGAAAACCTAGGTATTACCATTCAGGACATAGGCGTGGGCAAGGACTTCATGTCCAAAACACCAAAAGCAATGGCAACAAAAGCCAAAATTGACAAATGGGATCTAATTAAACTAAAGAGCTTCTGCAAAGCAAAAGAAACTACCATCAGAGTGAACAGGCAACCTACAACATGGGAGAAAATTTTCGCAACCTACTCATCTGACAAAGGGCTAATATCCAGAATCTACAATGAACTCAAACAAATTTACAAGAAAAAAACAAACAACCCCATCAAAAAGTGGGCGAAGGACATGAACAGACACTACTCAAAAGAAGACATTTATGCAGCCAAAAAACACATGAAGAAATGCTCATCATCACTGGCCATCAGAGAAATGCAAATCAAAACCACTATGAGATATCATCTCACACCAGTTAGAATGGCAATCATTAAAAAGTCAGGAAACAACAGGTGCTGGAGAGGATGTGGAGAAATAGGAACACTTTTACACTGTTGGTGGGACTGTAAACTAGTTCAACCATTGTGGAAGTCAGTGTGGCGATTCCTCAGGGATCTAGAACTAGAAATACCATTTGACCCAGCCATCCCATTACTGGGTATATACCCAAAGGACTATAAATCATGCTGCTATAAAGACACATGCACACGTATGTTTATTGCGGCACTATTCACAATAGGAAAGACTTGGAACCAACCCAAATGTCCAACAATGATAGACTGGATTAAGAAAATGTGGCACATATACACCATGGAATACTATACAGCCATAAAAAATGATGAGTTCATGTCCTTTGTAGAGACATGGATGAAATTGGAAACCATCATTCTCAGTAAACTATCGCAAGAACAAAAAACCAAACACCGCATATTCTCACTCATAGGTGGGAATTGAACAATGAGATCACATGGACACAGGAAGGGGAATATCACACTCTGGGGACTGTGGTGGGGTCGGGGGAGGGGGGAGGGATAGCATTGGGAGATATACCTAATGCTAGATGACACGTTAGTGGGTGCAGCGCACCAGCATGGCACATGTATACATATGTAACTAACCTGCACAATGTGCACATGTACCCTAAAACTTAGAGTATAAAAAAAAAAAAAAAAAAAGTTTGAATGTTTTCTTGCATTCAGAGCCTTGGTTGACATAGTTAATTAAAAATAAAACATTGTATATAAAGCACAGAATGAGCAGCTACACAAAGCTGCTCAATCAATGACAGCTCTATATGGGTTAGGGTTTCTTGTGGGGATGACATTGATGTAGAAAGCATGGTCATCTATTGAGAATGATGGGGCTGGAGGTATTGGATACTTGAGGTTTAGAAAATACATTGTAGAAAATGGACAAAAACCCCTCAAATTAAGGGATGAGGCAGAATAATGCTTGGCAATACCAGGGGTAGGCTGCAGTCTTTCTTGGAAATATATATTTTAAATGGAACCAATTATCATAGCATCATTTCCTCTCAGGGTTACCCTCTGATCCCTATTTTACTAAATCGTTATAAAACAAAATGAGGAATTATGTGTCCTTCCCTTTTGAAGCCAATGTAACAAGATGGGTAAGAATTAGACCTCCTGAGTTCAAAATCCCTGGATTCAGATCTATTCCTGTATATTCAGGAGAAGTGGTAATAAATTCGATGGACAATTTGGTTTAGTAGTCGATTGAGGACCCTGATGAGGTATATTTGGGAAAACATAACTTCCGCTCTCTCTCATTGACTCACGGGCCTTTGAGGAGTCCAGGAGTCATTGGAATCTGGCCTGAGGTTGAGGCTGCTGGCAAAACTCCTTCCCCAAAGTCCATTCCTATTGCTGACTGAGAAGGGACTAGCATTGGAAGTGGCTGATTTTAAATACCGCTAGTGCTGGTGTGCTCCTCCCTCCCATTCCCAGCTCTGCTTTGTGTAGTTGCCTTGAGAAGCTAAGTTCATTCTGAAAATAATGCCATTGCACAAAACACTTTTGAAAGTTCTAGTTTGAAATTACATCAGGTCACTTGGTCTGTGTGGCCTCAGTTTCTTCATCTGCCATGTGAAAATAATAATGCCTACTCTGTAGCAAAGAAAGTCTCTATAGTAAACAAAAAAAAAGCCTACTCTGATACTGAAAGTTGTTATGAAAAATAAAAAAGGGAAATGCTTTAGAAACTGTTAAGTGCTATGTAGATGTTACTAATTAACAAACCATTTCAGAAACTATACTTTTTATTTTATGGCCACTATTCACTGTTTAACTTAAAATACCTCATATGTAAACTTGTCTCCCACTGTTGCTATAACAAATCCCAAGTCTTATTTCAAAGTACCAAGATATTGAAAATAGTGCTAAGAGTTTCACATATGGTATGACCCTCTATATAAACTCATTTTAAGTCTCCTCTAAAGATGAAAAGTCTTGTGTTGAAATTCTCAGGGTATTTTATGAGAAATAAATGAAATTTAATTTCTCTGTTTTTCCCCTTTTGTAGGAAGTCACCAAAGCAGTACAGCCTCTCTTACTGGGAAGAATCATAGCTTCCTATGACCCGGATAACAAGGAGGAACGCTCTATCGCGATTTATCTAGGCATAGGCTTATGCCTTCTCTTTATTGTGAGGACACTGCTCCTACACCCAGCCATTTTTGGCCTTCATCACATTGGAATGCAGATGAGAATAGCTATGTTTAGTTTGATTTATAAGAAGGTAATACTTCCTTGCACAGGCCCCATGGCACATATATTCTGTATCGTACATGTTTTAATGTCATAAATTAGGTAGTGAGCTGGTACAAGTAAGGGATAAATGCTGAAATTAATTTAATATGCCTATTAAATAAATGGCAGGAATAATTAATGCTCTTAATTATCCTTGATAATTTAATTGACTTAAACTGATAATTATTGAGTATCTTCTGTAAACTGCCTCTGTTGTAGTTTTTTTTTTCTCCTAATCATGTTATCATTTTTTTGGAATCCATGGTTTCCTGTTAAGATGACTCACACAGCCTACATAAAAGTAATTGACAAAATATCATCTTATAGTAAAATGCCACATATCTTTATGTTCAGCAAGAAGAGTATAATATATGATTGTTAATGATAACCCAAACAACAAAAGATTTCACCTTAACTGGTTGTCATAAGTAGTAGTATCCACCGCCTTATTTTGAGTTGGATTTTTATCATCCTATGAGCCCTACAAATTTAAAGTTTTTGGAACAGCACGTGCATTGAACCCATAAGAACCTACTCTGCTTTTCTGCATGTATTGTCCAGACAAGAGACCAAATTGCCGAGGCATCATTTAGGTGAATTCTAATTAACATTTAGCTACCTTACAACCACAATTCAAGGTTGTTTCAAAGGCATGTGCTTGCATCATCCTGATTCACTACCATGTGTTACTAACTTGGATCTGCAAAGTCATTATAAAAAGCTGTTTTGATGGACTTATTTGGATATTGCTTTACCCTTCTTCTCTCTTTTCTTTTATCAATGTAAAAACATTATATGTTAAATACTTGGCTTTTAAGAGCATAGATCTGAAATCTGCCTCTAGCAAATAACCCATAACACTTCTAAGATATACCTGCAAGGTCAATTGTGTTGTAAAACCTTGATAACCATACTTTATTGTTCAAAAAAGCCTTTTATGAAGGCAGAAGTTAAAAAAAAAAAACAAAAAAAACAGAGTCCACAGTTATCACCTCAGCTACAATCTCATCAGTTCACAAGTACCAGCAAAACATGTGATAAGTCAACAAATGTTTTATTTCAATCTGAACATTTTACGTAAGTGAAGACTTTGTTAGATATCATTTGGAATGTGGAATCTACACAGTTGGCATATCAGAGAAGGTTGAATTCAGTTTAATAAATGTTTATAGAAAGTGCTTGTTATCATAATGATAATAGCTCAGGATGTGCATGACAAGCTTTTAAGCGATTGGGTACACTATCTCATTTGATCTTCTGCACAACTATTAATGGTAGGTACTATTATCCCTATCTTATGGATAAGTAAACTAAGATTTAAAAAGTACAGAACATGGTGTGAACACTGCTTCAAAATTTCTAAAATAGGTAAATCACGATCTCTAAACTGGAGGGTTGTCCAACCACTAGGGACAATAGAGTACTGATATTTAGTGGTCAGACTGTAATGCGGGAAGAGACAGGCATGGGCTAAACGGGTGTAGAGATCAAATAAGGGGCAGGTTAGTTTGTAAACATGTCCATATGTAACATTTAGCACAAATACAGGATATAGGTGCTTTCAGACCCAGCTGCATTGATAAAAAGTTAGGTGGTATTGTATCTGTCTTCCTTTCTCAATGTTGCATATCTGTGTTCTTGCCCAGTTTGCTTCATCTCTCTAGCCACACTTATTGGCCTACAATGGCATCATCACCAAAGAAGGCAATCCCATCTCCGTGTGGCTTTGGTTTGCTCCCTAAAGTAAACCTTGTGTTTACTTTTCCCAGGTCTCATGCTTTCCCATATCTGACCTGTTTTGTCCTCATGGCCAGGATATGTGGGACCTTTCCTACAATGTTCCAAAGTTTGTAATAGAGCTCTTCTCTGCTTTGTTCCAAATTCTGCAACATTTTACTTTAAATAATGAATTTAAATACAAACAAACTTGAGCTTTGCCTATACTTTTCAAGAATGCAGAGATAACTAAATTAATAAAAATATTCATTGAGTCCTTACTGTGCACACAGCTCTATGTTAAGCCTTGTGCAGAACTCAAAGTCACTCGAGATTAAGCCTGTTACTAAGTTATGTGCAATTTAGCTCAGTGGATTTCCCCCACTTCATATTGCTCTGATAATGTTTTGGAATTAACTGCCTTGATTCCTTCTTTTCTCTGCTTGTCTATACACTATTTATTATTCTACACCATCTCAAATTCTAACTCCTCAAGAAAATCCTTCCAGATGATTTTTCTAACCAGGAGTTTTAACTTCCTTTTAACTACCCTATTACTTTCTACTTCCTTAACTCATCTATCATATTATATTTAGTTATTTATATACTAGGTCGCCTTGAAGAAGGGATTGTGTTTTCATAAATCTTAATAATCCCTGAGGCATCAAGTACAGTGATTTGCATTTACTAAATGCTCAACAAATATGTGAGGGATTCACTTGAAACTAATATTAGATAATTCCCAGTCAAAGTGATCTAATAGCAAATCAATTCTTCAGTTTTATAGGCAAAGTATGACTCTGGTTTTCCATAATCATAATTAATTTGTCAACTTTATAATTTTAATTAAGTAAATTTAATTGGTAGATAAATAAGTAGATAAAAAATAATTTACCTGCTTAACTACGTTTCATATAGCATTGCATTTTTCTTTGTAAAATTTAAGAATTTTGTATTAATAAACTTTTTTACAAAAGTATTAATTATTCAGTTATTCATCATATACTTTTATTGACTTAAAAGTAATTTTATTCAAAAGAGTTAGTATAGGACTACATGAAAAATTCAAGGCCAAGGCTTAATTTCAAATTTCACTGCCTTTGGCTCTATCTTTTAAAACAAAACAAAAAACTCCCGCACAATATCAATGGGTATTTAAGTATAATATCATTCTCATTGTGAGGAGAAAAAATAATTATTTCTGCCTAGATGCTGGGAAATAAAACAACTAGAAGCATGCCAGTATAATATTGACTGTTGAAAGAAACATTTATGAACCTGAGAAGATAGTAAGCTAGATGAATAGAATATAATTTTCATTACCTTTACTTAATAATGAATGCATAATAACTGAATTAGTCATATTATAATTTTACTTATAATATATTTGTATTTTGTTTGTTGAAATTATCTAACTTTCCATTTTTCTTTTAGACTTTAAAGCTGTCAAGCCGTGTTCTAGATAAAATAAGTATTGGACAACTTGTTAGTCTCCTTTCCAACAACCTGAACAAATTTGATGAAGTATGTACCTATTGATTTAATCTTTTAGGCACTATTGTTATAAATTATACAACTGGAAAGGCGGAGTTTTCCTGGGTCAGATAATAGTAATTAGTGGTTAAGTCTTGCTCAGCTCTAGCTTCCCTATTCTGGAAACTAAGAAAGGTCAATTGTATAGCAGAGCACCATTCTGGGGTCTGGTAGAACCACCCAACTCAAAGGCACCTTAGCCTGTTGTTAATAAGATTTTTCAAAACTTAATTCTTATCAGACCTTGCTTCTTTTTAAAACTTTAAATCTGTTATGTACTTTGGCCAGATATGATACCTGAGCAATTCTTGTTCTGGGTTGTCTTATGTGAAAAATAAATTCAAGGTCCTTGGGACAGATAATGTGTTTTATTTATCTTTGCATATCCATTACTTAAAACAGCATTGGACCCACAGCTGGTACAAAATTAATTACTGTTGAATTGAGCAAATATTTATTCTAAATGTCTCTGTCAAATGACAGAGTGTGGTTGTGTGGATTAAGTCCCTGGAGAGAGTTCTTTGTTCTCTCATGTTCTATGCTGTGGTTCTTGCTTTATGCAAAAAGAAGTAAGTTACTTAAAACCTGGACATGATACTTAAGATGTCCAATCTTGATTCCACTGAATAAAAATATGCTTAAAAATGCACTGACTTGAAATTTGTTTTTTGGGAAAACCGATTCTATGTGTAGAATGTTTAAGCACATTGCTATGTGCTCCATGTAATGATTACCTAGATTTTAGTGTGCTCAGAACCACGAAGTGTTTGATCATATAAGCTCCTTTTACTTGCTTTCTTTCATATATGATTGTTAGTTTCTAGGGGTGGAAGATACAATGACACCTGTTTTTGCTGTGCTTTTATTTTCCAGGGACTTGCATTGGCACATTTCGTGTGGATCGCTCCTTTGCAAGTGGCACTCCTCATGGGGCTAATCTGGGAGTTGTTACAGGCGTCTGCCTTCTGTGGACTTGGTTTCCTGATAGTCCTTGCCCTTTTTCAGGCTGGGCTAGGGAGAATGATGATGAAGTACAGGTAGCAACCTATTTTCATAACTTGAAAGTTTTAAAAATTATGTTTTCAAAAAGCCCACTTTAGTAAAACCAGGACTGCTCTATGCATAGAACAGTGATCTTCAGTGTCATTAAATTTTTTTTTTTTTTTTTTTTTTGAGACAGAGTCTAGATCTGTCACCCAGGCTGGAGTGCAGTGGCACGATCTTGGCTCACTGCACTGCAACTTCTGCCTCCCAGGCTCAAGCAATTCTCCTGCCTCAGCCTCCGGAGTAGCTGGGATTAGAGGCGCATGCCACCACACCCAGCTAATTTTTGTATTTTAGTAGAGACAGGGTTTCACCAGGTTGCCCAGGCTGGTCTCGAATGCCTGACCTCAGGTGATCCGCCCACCTCGGCCTCCCAAAGTACTGATATTACAGGCATGAGCTACCGCGCCCGGCCTAAAAAATACTTTTTAAGATGGTGTAAATATTACTTTCTGTATCAATGGTACATTTTTTACTTGTCAGTCTCTAGAATTTCTTTATAAATATGTTGATTCAGTTCATTTTTGTAGATTATAAAACAGGTAAAAAAGGATAAAACATTTATGTGAATTAAAGGGAATACCTAATTTTTGTGTAGAGTTTATTAGCTTTTACTACTCTGGTTTATGGATCATCACACCAGAGCCTTAGTTACTTTGTGTTACAGAATAACTAATATGAGTGAATGAATGACTTACACAAGTCACTGCTTAGGATAAAGGGCTTGAGTTTGTCAGCTAGAGTATGACAGAAAGTATCTAAGTTTTGGAGTCAAATAGCACTTTGTTTGAATCCCAGATTGCATGCTTACTAGTTATGTGACCTTAGTCAAGCCACTTCACCTCACTGAGTCTTTGCTTTTTTCATCTCTAAAATAGAGATACCCACCGCTCATAGGCTGTCATAAGGGATAGAGATAGCATATGGAATGAGTCTGTACAGCGTCTGGCACATAGGAGGCATTTACCAAACAGTAGTTATTATTTTTGTTACCATCTATTTGATAATAAAATAATGCCCATCTGTTGAATAAAAGAAATATGACTTAAAACCTTGAGCAGTTCTTAATAGATAATTTGACTTGTTTTTACTATTAGATTGATTGATTGATTGATTGATTGATTTACAGAGATCAGAGAGCTGGGAAGATCAGTGAAAGACTTGTGATTACCTCAGAAATGATTGAAAATATCCAATCTGTTAAGGCATACTGCTGGGAAGAAGCAATGGAAAAAATGATTGAAAACTTAAGACAGTAAGTTGTTCCAATAATTTCAATATTGTTAGTAATTCTGTCCTTAATTTTTTAAAAATATGTTTATCATGGTAGACTTCCACCTCATATTTGATGTTTGTGACAATCAAATGATTGCATTTAAGTTCTGTCAATATTCATGCATTAGTTGCACAAATTCACTTTCATGGGCTGTAGTTTTATGTAGTTGGTCCAGGGTGTTATTTTATGCTGCAAGTATATTATACTGATACGTTATTAAAGAATTTCCTACATATGTTCACTGCTGCTCAATACATTTATTTCGTTAAAACAATTATCAAGATACTGAAGGCTGATTGGTAACTCACATGGAACTGGGAGAGTATACAATTCTGAACCAAATAGATGATTCTCTATTATTATATCTTAATTTATGTGTTATGGTATATTAAACATGAAAAAAATTGTATTTGGTTAGAATATGTTTGCTCTTCCTTAACTCGGGAATGACATAGGGTAATATTCACAGATTGGGTTCCTATAAATCCTCCACTTGAAGTGAAGTCAGTTCAAGTAATGAAAGCTACCTCCTGAGATAGAATCAGTACTTGGCACCTATCTCTAGTGTTCTTTCACCTCATATAACCTTTCACTGATTAGTAAAGATTATATCCAACAAAGAAAGTACAGCACAGACTGAGATATGATTACTGAGATAAATTTGGGCAAAATATAAACTACAGCATTTCTGTAGCAATGAGACCATTTTTCTTCAGTTGAGCTCCATGTTCTACAAACTTCAATCAAAAAAGGTTCTAGGAGACTCAGTGAAAGTTGATACACTGTTCAAGGAACAAATAATTTCAGCACATGGGAATTTCACAGGGAAAAATATACTAAAAAGAGAGGTACCATTTTGGATGGTGTCAATATGGGTTATGAGGAATTCAGGCTGCTGAGTCCAGTGTACAATGGAAACTGAGCTGCAGGTGTGTGATTGTAACAACAAAAGAAATGCTGAAATATTAAGTCCTTTGCCATGTAAATAGAAAAAGAGTATTTATTTCCCAAACATTATTGCTCACCTGTTTTTGTTATGCCTTTCAAGATAAATCCAGGAAAGGAATTGCATTTTCTTTCCAGAAAACAAGTTCTTGGGGGAATTGTTCAATTGGTAGATGTTGTTTTTCTCATTAACAAGTGAGTGCTCCATCACACTTGCTGAGTGCTCCATCACACTTGCTCTCTGCATTACTCCTCTGCCTGCAAACACATATATAGCAAGGGTGATGACAAGGATATCAGAGGGTCTGGTTTTCTCAAACTCATGATAAACTCATGGCTGGGTCATTCTTGGTGCTGATTTTACTTTGTTTTTTGTTGTTATTGTTCCCTCTTCCTCAAAAGATGAAATCTATCCCTCTTACTTGGAATTTCTCTTTGATATATAGCGAATGTTTGGTTGTAACCTGTATAATCTGGCATGAAATTGTCACTCGAAAAGGCTAGAAGTGTTGACATAAATATGGGACAGCAAGAGTTGCTCCTACTCAAGAGAGCAAATATAATGTTCTGGAAGAGATTGGCAGAATTCACATCAAAGGAGTGATTACTTCAGCCTGGGCCACTGTTGTACTGGTCAAAAGGCTGTGCAAAGCTCTCTGAAAATCCACTCTTTTATTGCTCTTTAGTAATAAAGTCACTTTCAATTTTAAAAATAACAAACTGATATATTTTTATGACTCATAAAATGTTAGCAATTATATTATGGAGAATCTACTTTCTGGGTGATTCTTACAAATGTTCTTGGATCTATTTTTTTTTCTTATAGTACCTATTCTTCCCATTTTTCTCAGCTCTAGTTAATATATTTCAACAACAGTTCAACAAATTTAACATTTTTATAAAAAGTGTTTCCTATCATTTTATAAATACCAGCCTAGTCCATGTTATTCCTTTTCTTGTTGAGGAGAAAGGACACACATTGTAAATTCAAATATAGACCTCTACTGTGCTATTTAATCTTGGTAACAACTCCACAAAGGAGATGACATGTTTTCCTTCTATAGAGGTAGATTCTGTAAAGTTAGAGGGAAGAGTGACTTGCTTAAGATGGCATAAGCTGTAACTGGCAGAACCAGGATTCAAAGCCAGGTGGGATGCCAAAATCATAATCTGTCTTCAGTGTCAAGTTACTGAAATTGGTAAACATTAGACCTAAATAGACGGAATTGCAATCCGGGTTGGGCACATTAAACTCCATTTTCTTCATCAATGTGCTCAGATTACATTTTACTTTTCAGGCTAAAAATGGAAAAAAAGAGTCCCTCTTAGTTCTGCACTTGAGAATGAGAATAGCTTTTCTGAATTATACAAGGAAGAAGAACTAATGCCCAAATGCCAGGTACCCACATGCACTATGCCATGGCACAGCTGTTGCCCCCTTTCACCAGAGCCCTCTCTCTGTATCCTGGTTGACCTTTCCTTGGGCAAGAGCTGGGTGGGGAGGATCACAAGTGACTCCAATTTGGATGGCTTCGGGAAGACTGGGACCGAGCTGAAGGCAGTGTTGTCCTCTGCACTCCCTGTTTTCTGTCTGCTGGAGCACTGAAGCCTCACATATGTATTAAAAAAATAATTTCCATTTGCATTTCAGACTAGAAGATTGAACGTATAGTGTAATGTGATTGCAAATAATTATATTGAAATGAGACAGAGAGGATGTAGTATCTACTGTCATAATTTTTCAAAACCCACCTGCAACTTGAATTAAAAGAACCACTTGGGTTTTTTTTTTTGTTTCAAACGCAAATCCTGGAAACCTACTGAGACTCATTCAGTCAGTATCTCTAAGAGGCAAGCTTGAGACTGTATATTTAAAAAGCATCTCAGGTGATTTTTACACATGCTAAGGCTTAAGAACCACTTCTCTGTAGCTTATATGTTATTTTCAATGTTCCTCAAAGCCAAGTTAGAATTTCCAAAGTGTTAAGAATCCATTAGACAATCACAGAATTGTCTTTTTCCTTTATAAATCTTGCAATGTTGTTCTCATTTCCATACTTAATTACTTAAAACACCAACCAACCAACAAGCAAAAAATGATTAGTCTAACTAATATTACAAGTTAATAATGAAGTAAAGGTTTAAAAATAATGTCATAATAATGTTAATAACAAATTATTAATTATAATTTAAAAATAATATTTATAATTTAAAAATAATATTTACAAGTACTACAAGCAAAACACTGGTACTTTCATTGTTATCTTTTCATATAAGGTAACTGAGGCCCAGAGAGATTAAATAACATGCCCAAGGTCACACAGGTCATATGATGTGGAGCCAGGTTAAAAATATAGGCAGAAAGACTCTAGAGACCATGCTCAGATCTTCCATTCCAAGATCCCTGATATTTGAAAAATAAAATAACATCCTGAATTTTATTGTTATTGTTTTTTATAGAACAGAACTGAAACTGACTCGGAAGGCAGCCTATGTGAGATACTTCAATAGCTCAGCCTTCTTCTTCTCAGGGTTCTTTGTGGTGTTTTTATCTGTGCTTCCCTATGCACTAATCAAAGGAATCATCCTCCGGAAAATATTCACCACCATCTCATTCTGCATTGTTCTGCGCATGGCGGTCACTCGGCAATTTCCCTGGGCTGTACAAACATGGTATGACTCTCTTGGAGCAATAAACAAAATACAGGTAATGTACCATAATGCTGCATTATATACTATGATTTAAATAATCAGTCAATAGATCAGTTCTAATGAACTTTGCAAAAATGTGCGAAAAGATAGAAAAAGAAATTTCCTTCACTAGGAAGTTATAAAAGTTGCCAGCTAATACTAGGAATGTTCACCTTAAACTTTTCCTAGCATTTCTCTGGACAGTATGATGGATGAGAGTGGCATTTTATGCCAAATTACCTTAAAATCCCAATAATACTGATGTAGCTAGCAGCTTTGAGAAATTCTAAAGTTTTCAAGTGATAAGACTCAATTTATACAAAGCTAATTGGATAAACTTGTATATGATTAAGAAGCAAATAAATACTTATTATGCTTTTTTGCTGTTTATTTAAATATTTAACCCAGAAAATAAGTCACTGTGACAGAAATAAAAATGAGAGAGAAGGGTGAGCCACTCTTAGGTAGTTCTGGCATTATTTAATCTAGGCCAGAGGTTGCAAATGGTGTCCCATAGAACTAATTTTGGCTCCTAGACCTGTCTTATTTAACCTTTCATTTAAAAAATTTGTATTGGTTGCCAGCAATTAAAAATTGGGAGATGTCTCACACACACACACACATAAACACACACACTCATGTGTGCAGCCTCTTTTGAAGAATTGGAATAACTAGTCAACTGCGTCCTCCTTTTCCACAAGCTGTGACAGCTCCCTGCTCACAGAGCACCTGCCCTCTCCTGTTCATCATGCTCTCTTCTCAGTCCCATTCCTTCATTATATCACCTATTTGGTCCTGAGACTAAGTGAGTTTGAGATCTGTGATTTAGACAAAGTGGTGAATCTAGCTCTGAATCATAGTAAGTAGCTCTGGGAATCATCTTGTCTTCTGTTAGCCCATTGAGAGAGAAATAGAGAGAGAGAGAGAGAGAAAGAAAGAAGAAGAAACAGATCTGGGGAGAGTCACTGAATGGGAGCATAGAGACAGAGAAACAGATCTAGAAAACCAAACTGGGAGAAAATGAGAGAAACCAAAAGAGAGGTAGAGAGGAGCAGAGAAGAAAATGAAGAAGCAAGGCAAGGACCAGGCTTTTTCATTATTTCTTATGGCCAAGACTTCAGTATGCGTGGACTTAATTCTTCCTTATGCTCCTACCTTCCCTAGGGAAACTGATTTGGAGTCTCTAATAGAGCCCTTCTTTTAGAATCACAGTTTGATGCCTTAAAACTAGTTATATACCTTCACATGCTTCCTTAACCCACAGAAGTGATGCTAATGAGGCCCTTAATAAGGAGCGTGCTATTAAGATGAAGACATTCATTTTTTTTCTCCGTCCAATGTTGGATTAAGGCACATTAGTGGGTAATTCAGGGTTGCTTTGTAAATTCATCACTAAGGTTAGCATGTAATAGTACAAGGAAGAATCAGTTGTATGTTAAATCTAATGTATAAAAAGTTTTATAAAATATCATATGTTTAGAGAGTATATTTCAAATATGATGAATCCTAGTGCTTGGCAAATTAACTTTAGAACACTAATAAAATTATTTTATTAAGAAATAATTACTATTTCATTATTAAAATTCATATATAAGATGTAGCACAATGAGAGTATAAAGTAGATGTAATAATGCATTAATGCTATTCTGATTCTATAATATGTTTTTGCTCTCTTTTATAAATAGGATTTCTTACAAAAGCAAGAATATAAGACATTGGAATATAACTTAACGACTACAGAAGTAGTGATGGAGAATGTAACAGCCTTCTGGGAGGAGGTCAGAATTTTTAAAAAATTGTTTGCTCTAAACACCTAACTGTTTTCTTCTTTGTGAATATGGATTTCATCCTAATGGCGAATAAAATTAGAATGATGATATAACTGGTAGAACTGGAAGGAGGATCACTCACTTATTTTCTAGATTAAGAAGTAGAGGAATGGCCAGGTGCTCATGGTTGTAATCCCAGCACTTTGGGAGACCAAGGCGGGTGGATCACCTGAGGTCAGGAGTTCAAGACCAGCCTGGCCAACATGGTAAAACCCGGTCTCTACTAAAAATACAAAAAATTAACTGGGCATGGTGGCAGATGCTGTAGTCCCAGCTGCTCGGGAGGCTGAGGCAGGAGAATCACTTGAACCTGGGAGGCGGAGGTTGCAGTGAGCTAAGATCACGCCACTGCACTCCAGCCTGGGCAACAAGGCGAGACTCTGTCTGAAAAAGAAAAAAAAATAAAAATAAAAATAAAAAGAAGTGGAGGAATATTAAATGCAATATAAAAGCTTTTTTTATTTTTAAGTCATACAATTTGTTTCACATAACAGATCAGGAAATAATACAGAGATCATAAGTTTTGGAGCTGGGTTTGAATCCTGGCTCTGCCATTTACTTTCTGTGTAATCTAAGTCAAGTTACTGAACTTTGTGGGCCCTCTGGCTCTCCATGTGTAAAATGGAGAATATTAATATTTACCTTGCAAGTTTGTTGTGAAGACTGAAGGAGAGAATTTAGGTAAAACATTCATCAGAGTACCATGCACACAGTTGTTCCTCAATAAACATTAGCTTCTCTGATTGCAAGTTCCAGTCTAAAGTGCTTTATATATACCAGCCAATAAAAGGATGCGAGAGAGATATACCAGTGTATTGTTTTCTACCATTTTAAACCTATTTTCATCCACTGTTACAAATTCTATCATACTGCTCCACATAAAAAATATTATCAATGATTTTTAGTCTCTGAAGTGCAATATTTGATTATTGAGCACACCTGTTGAAGTTTTAGTTTCTTCTCACTTACATGGGTTGTGTAAAGGTAGGAGGTATAAAACCAGTGTCCTAGGTCTAAATCTTTCTTAATGTCATACTTTGGATTCATTGATATAAGTAACTTGAGCACCAGCGCTTCATTTTACTTCATTTTTTAAAGATATAGTAAGAGTAATTCCCATCTGCCTAGCAAAATTGTTTTGTAGAAAAGTTTGTGGATCAGATTTATTTTACTTTGATTTTAGGAATTTCAAGTGTCTTCGTCGGCATGAAGGAAAAATATGCAGTTTGACATTTTCTACTACTTTCAGGTCATTATTTTCCTACTCTGGTGCAAAAACCCTCAATTCCTGTCTCACTCCATCTAATCAAATAGGTAGCATGCTTGAGCCCTTACTATGTGCCAGGCACTAGGATAAGCACTTTATATGTTTTGTCCCAATTAATTCTCACAGCATTTCTATGACCTAAATAAAATTAATATTTTCATTTCACCAATAATAAAATGGAGGCTTCAAAAAGTTTAGGGACTTGGCTCAGCTCACACAACTGGCAAGGACTGAAAATGGATTTTAGTCCCAAATGTCATAGGCTAGAGCCCTTTCACTAAACTGTTGTCTTCCATCTGGTGGCATCCTCTTCCTCCAGTCTTTGTCACCTAAACTCTGGGCACCCCTTGATGGCATTTACTTATGATGGTGATGCTTGTTAAACTTCCTGTTTGCGACTTCAACGTCCATATAAATGAGTCTTCCAATACTGTACTTAGAACTTATATTTTGTAGTGACTTCTTTAAAAGCTTTCTCTCTTAGTCATATCCTGAGTTTTGTTAGCACCTGGACTTACCTTACTTTGGAAATGTTGCACTCTGAAATCTCTTTCTCAGCTTGGAATTTCCTAATCTTCCAACTGTTTGAGTCTTTTAATTCTACATTTACTGCCTTTCCATTTCATCAGGATTTCTAGTCTCTTTAATTCTTCCTTTTGAACTCCTCCTGATTTAACCTCTGCTTATTCGAAGAACAATAATTTTATTCTCTCAGCTGCACTCTCAATTCCCTTTTCCTTTTGGTGATTTTTCTTTTTCCTACAGAACACTTACTTTATCAGTTTTGGAGAAGGAAGTGCTATCTGGGTAACAGTAGTGCTATCTGTTGACTCTAGTCAACTGTAAGTTTTATACATTTATTGTTTAAACCTTATATGGGTCTATAATCCTTCTTGGGAAATCCTTTCATTTGTCTTTAATTTCCTTTACCATTTCCCTAAAGGCTATTCCAGATTTTTATCACATTCACAAAATTCCCGTCTTTTCTCAGGATCTGTTCACCCCCAGTAGATAGCCTTGTCTCCCACAATACATGGAGAAAATAGAGGCCACCGTCATATTTGAATGTTTCCAACTTCTCTCTTCACCTTTGGAATTATCTTTTTCTTCTTTTGTGTCTAAGAGAAAGATGTATACTTCTTCTTACCCTTGTCTGAACTACTCTATTTTGCTTCATCTTCTCAGAACAGGGGACCAGCAATTATTCTTCCTCCAGAAGCTTCAACATCTTTTGTCAACTGACTCCTTCTCATGTTTAAATATTTTCAAGTTAAACAATTTCTTTCCTGACTTTCGCTCACGCAACCTCATGCCCAAAACCTTATCACTCTTCTTCCCTTTGCTGTCAAGGCTGTTCTCACTTCTTCACTTTTTGTGGACTTCTCCCCACTACAACATAGATTCTGCTATCACCAATCTATTAAAACTGTTATACTCTTGTGGAATTTATCATTTAATTTAGCTTCAGTGAACCGTTCTTTCCAGATTATTTTGGCCTCAGACCATGACTTCTAAGTCTGCCGTGCTTGCCACTTAAGTGATGATGGGCCAGTGGGTCCCCACCTAGGCCTCTGTGTTAGTCTGTTTTCATGTTGCTGATAAAGACATACCCAAGAATGGGCAATTTACAGAAGAAAGGGGTTTGAGGGACTCACAGTTCCATGTGACTGGGGAGGCCTCACAATCATGGTGGATGATGAAAGGCATGTCTCACATGGAGGCAGATAAGAGCATAGAACTTGTGCAGGGAAACTTCCCTTTATTAAACCACCAGGTCTTGTGAGACTTCTTCACTATCACGAGAATAGGATGGGCAAGACCCTCCCCCATGATTCAATTATCTCCCACTGGGTCCCTCCCACAACACATGGGAATTATGGGAGCTATAATTCAAGATGAGATTTGGGTGAGGACATAGCCAAACCATATCAGCCTCCTTCTGGCTTTTTATGTTCTCCGTGGGTGACCTCTCTCAGGCTCAAGTGATAACCAATGTGCTGATGACTCTCAAATGCGCATCTCTGGCTTCAGTTTCTTCCTTGAACTTCATACATATGTTTCCAAATTTCCTGCGTGTACCTCAAGGTTCTTGTTCATCACTTCCCAAGCTTCATAAACGCACTCATTTTAGTGTATTCTCTGTCTCCTTTGATAGCATCCCTGAGAGGCAAGTCCCTGGTGAGTTATATACAACTCCTCCCTTGCTCCAAACCTGAGAGTAAGTAACATTCCTATTAACATATTAGGAAGCTGAGGCTTAGACAGTTTAAGTAACTCAAGCATGGTTACACAACTAGCTAGGGCAGAGCTAAAATGTCAGGCTAGGCTTCTGTGACTCCAAAGCCCTTTCTCACTTAGCATATCATCACTTATTTTTTTTTTTAATCACATATATGATTTTTTTTTCTTTAAGAGATAGAATCTTGCTCTATCACGTGGGCTGGAGTGCAGTGGCACAATCATAGCTCACTGTAACCTTGAACTTGGGCTCAAGTGATCCTCCTGCCTTAGCCTACTGAGTAGCTAGGGCTACAGACACACACCACCATGCCTAGCTAATTTTATTTTATTTTATTTTATTTTTTGAGACAGAGTCTCACTCTGTCACCCAGGCTGGAGTGCAGTGGTGCGATCTTGGCTCACTGGAACCTCTGCTGCCCGGGTTCAAGCGATTCTCCTGCCTCAGCCTCCTGAGTAGCTGGGATTACAGGTGCCTGCCACTGTGCCCAGCTAATTTTTGTATTTTTAGTAGAGACGGGGTTTCACCATCTTGGCCAGGCTTGTCTTGAACTCCTGACCTCGTGATCCACTCGCCTCGGCCTCCCAAAGTGCTGGGATTACAGGTGTGAGCCACCACGCCTGGCCACCTACCTAATTTTTAATTTTTTTGTAGAGACAGGGTCTCACTACGTTGCCCAGGCTGGTCTTGAACTCCTGTTCTCAAACAATCCTCCTGCCTCGGACACCCCAAGTGCAGGGATTACAGGCATGAGTCATTGCAGCTGACCTGTATATATGATTTTTAGTATATGTAAATATACATATTTATTAAATGTAAATATAAATATAAATGTGTGGAGTGATATCCATTGAAATGTTAAACATAGTTCTCAGTGGTACAACTACAGGTGATTTCTCTTTTCTTATTTCTGGTTTTCTGTGTTTTCCAAATTTCTTGAAATGTGTCTTCTGTAATCAGAAATAAAAGTTATTAGTAACAACAGTCTTCCACTGGTACAAGTGCTTATTGGATAAAAGTCCCACTTCTAAGCATGATACTCACAACTTTTAGGTTAATAGCCTTTGTCACCTTGCCATATACATCTGATCCAGCCACTCACACCATTCCTGAGATATATTTTGTTCCTTTGTGCCTAAATCATTGTGCATGCAGATCCATCTTCCTGGAACACCTATAACCATTTCTTAGTCCTGTGAAATCCTACTTACATCCTTCATAGCCTAGCATGTATGTCATTTATTTGGTCAAGGGTGAGTTGGTTGTTCTCTTGAATGTACTGCCATATGACGTGGTGTGATTTCAATTGTAGCACCAAGCTCATTGCAATATTAATTCGTTTGTCATTCTCCCATGTAGGATGTTTGAAGTAGTTTCTAACACAGAGATTATACTCAATAAATATTTATTAGATAAATAAATGAATAAGGGAATAACAAATGCCTTTGTCTCATTTTAAAATACTTTCATTGTTAGCTACCCATATAATAAAAAACTAAAAGCAGTAGTTTTCAAGCATGATTGTTTATGTATGCCTTAAAAGAATTTTGAAAACCTATGTACCCCTGACACACTTTTAAGTTAACTTATAAATTTTTCAACATAGTTTTAAGTGGTGGCAAATGATGTAGTTTCTTGTGTATTTTAAACTGCTTAAGTATGCTATACATGGATTTCTTCAAAACCCTGAAGCTGCAGTTTCAGTGCATTCAATTTATGGAAAAGAAATTAATTTATAAAATTGGTTCTTATTGTCAAGTCAATCAGCTAAATATAACTTGCTTTCTGTCAGGAAAAGTCTGACTTTAAAATACAGATAAGTAATAACTATTATTAATTAATTAAATTATTAAAATTAAAATAATTAAATAATTTGTTAATTAAAATGCCTTATTCCCCTACTTATTTCTGCAATTTGACTCTAAGAATAGATAGGACATGTAGATTGCCTTAGGTTTGAAATCTGGGTGAAATAAGATACTGCCTCCTTCAGTATTTCTGCCTTTGCTTTTATGGGAGCCTCTTTCAAGAAAAAGTCATTCTCTCATGGTCCCTTTGTTTGAGTCCCAGAGGTTTTCCTACTCCAGAAAGTGCAACGTAGTGAGACTAGTACTATACTCCCTTGCATGGTAAGTGAGAAGGCTGTCTGTATAAAATGAGGGAAGGACTCATGAGAGGGAAGTAGGTCAGGAGAAATGATAGGTTCTCAGGCAGGTTAATTTTAGGAAAGAGTGAATAGAGTCCCTTAAAACAAGGTGCATCTGCTTCCTCCTGATCAATCTTTAGGACTGTTTACTTTGATTTGAAGACCACTATGCTAAAGCTTCCCACGGGGGCAATAGTGAGGCAAGGAATTTTTAAAAGGGAATTACTTCTTCGTAGCTACTTTTGTGAAATGAATTCATTTGAATTATCTGGCAATCTCTTCATATTTATATTCAACAATAATTACTTAAAGAAATGCTTTGAGCTTCTCAGAGGAGGGTGCTACCAGTGTGATGGAGTAGAATTCAGATTTGGGTAGTGACTTTAAAGCTGTGTGACTTTAGTCATTTAACTGCTGAGTCACAGTCTACAGCTTTGAAAGAGGAGGATTATAAAATCTATCTCATGTTAATGCTGAAGATTAAATAATAGTGTTTATGTACCCCGCTTATAGGAGAAGAGGGTGTGTGTGTGTGTGTGTGTGTGTGTGTGTGTATGTGTATGTATACATGTATGTATTCAGTCTTTACTGAAATTAAAAAATCTTTAACTTGATAATGGGCAAATATCTTAGTTTTAGATCATGTCCTCTAGAAACCGTATGCTATATAATTATGTACTATAAAGTAATAATGTATACAGTGTAATGGATCATGGGCCATGTGCTTTTCAAACTAATTGTACATAAAACAAGCATCTATTGAAAATATCTGACAAACTCATCTTTTATTTTTGATGTGTGTGTGTGTGTGTGTGTGTTTTTTTAACAGGGATTTGGGGAATTATTTGAGAAAGCAAAACAAAACAATAACAATAGAAAAACTTCTAATGGTGATGACAGCCTCTTCTTCAGTAATTTCTCACTTCTTGGTACTCCTGTCCTGAAAGATATTAATTTCAAGATAGAAAGAGGACAGTTGTTGGCGGTTGCTGGATCCACTGGAGCAGGCAAGGTAGTTCTTTTGTTCTTCACTATTAAGAACTTAATTTGGTGTCCATGTCTCTTTTTTTTTCTAGTTTGTAGTGCTGGAAGGTATTTTTGGAGAAATTCTTACATGAGCATTAGGAGAATGTATGGGTGTAGTGTCTTGTATAATAGAAATTGTTCCACTGATAATTTACTCTAGTTTTTTATTTCCTCATATTATTTTCAGTGGCTTTTTCTTCCACATCTTTATATTTTGCACCACATTCAACACTGTATCTTGCACATGGCGAGCATTCAATAACTTTATTGAATAAACAAATCATCCATTTTATCCATTCTTAACCAGAACAGACATTTTTTCAGAGCTGGTCCAGGAAAATCATGACTTACATTTTGCCTTAGTAACCACATAAACAAAAGGTCTCCATTTTTGTTAACATTACAATTTTCAGAATAGATTTAGATTTGCTTATGATATATTATAAGGAAAAATTATTTAGTGGGATAGTTTTTTGAGGAAATACATAGGAATGTTAATTTATTCAGTGGTCATCCTCTTCTCCATATCCCACCCTAAGAACAACTTAACCTGGCATATTTGGAGATACATCTGAAAAAATAGTAGATTAGAAAGAAAAAACAGCAAAAGGACCAAAACTTTATTGTCAGGAGAAGACTTTGTAGTGATCTTCAAGAATATAACCCATTGTGTAGATAATGGTAAAAACTTGCTCTCTTTTAACTATTGAGGAAATAAATTTAAAGACATGAAAGAATCAAATTAGAGATGAGAAAGAGCTTTCTAGTATTAGAATGGGCTAAAGGGCAATAGGTATTTGCTTCAGAAGTCTATAAAATGGTTCCTTGTTCCCATTTGATTGTCATTTTAGCTGTGGTACTTTGTAGAAATGTGAGAAAAAGTTTAGTGGTCTCTTGAAGCTTTTCAAAATACTTTCTAGAATTATACCGAATAATCTAAGACAAACAGAAAAAGAAAGAGAGGAAGGAAGAAAGAAGGAAATGAGGAAGAAAGGAAGTAGGAGGAAGGAAGGAAGGAAAGAAGGAAGGAAGTAAGAGGGAAGCAGTGCTGCTGCTGTAGGTAAAAATGTTAATGAAAATAGAAATTAAGAAAGACTCCTGAAAGGCAATTATTTATCAATATCTAAGATGAGGAGAACCATATTTTGAAGAATTGAATATGAGACTTGGGAAACAAAATGCCACAAAAAATTTCCACTCAATAAATTTGGTGTCAGGCTGGGTGCAGTGGCTCACACTTGTAATCCTAGCACTTTTGGAGGCAGAGGCAGGTGAATTGCTTGAGTCCAGGAGTTTGAGACCAGCGTGGGCAACATGGCAAACCCCACCTCTACAAAAAACACAAACAAAAGAAAATAGCTGGGTGTGGTGGTGTGTGCCTGTAGTCCCAGCTACTTGGGAGGCTGAGGTGGGAGGATCACCTGAGCCTGAGAAGTGGAGGCTGCAGTGAGCCATGATTGCACCACTGTACCCTAGCCTAGGTGATAGGCTCAAAAAAAAAAAAAATTGGTGTTTGCAATGCTAATAATACAATTTGGTTGTTTCTCTCTCCAGTTGTTTTCCTACATACGAAACAGCTTTTAAAACAAAATAGCTGGAATTGTGCATTTTTTCTTACAAAAACATTTTCTTTCTTAAAATGTTATTATTTTTCTTTTATATCTTGTATATTATTACTAGCAGTGTTCACTATTAAAAAATTATACTATAGGAGGGGCTGATACTAAATAAGTTAGCAATGGTCTAAACAAGGATGTTTATTTATGAAAAGGTAGTAATTGTGTTTCATAGAATTTTTAAAATTAATTCTGCGTATGTCTTCAAGATCAATTCTATGATAGATGTGCAAAAATAGCTTTGGAATTACAAATTCCAAGACTTACTGGCAATTAAATTTCAGGCAGTTTTATTAAAATTGATGAGCAGATAATTACTGGCTGACAGTGCAGTTATAGCTTATGAAAAGCAGCTATGAAGGCAGAGTTAGAGGAAGGCAGTGGTCCCTTGGGAATATTTAAACACTTCTGAGAAACGGAGTTTACTAACTCAATCTAGGAGGCTGCCTTTTAGTAGTATTAGGAATGGAACACTTTATAGTTTTTTTTGGACAAAAGATCTAGCTAAAATATAAGATTGAATAATTGAAAATATTAACATTTTAAGTTAAATCTTACCCACTCAATACAATTTGGTAATTTGTATCAGAAGCTTAAAAGATAACCTAATAGTTCTTCTACTTCTATAACTTACCCAAATATGTTTGCAGAGATCTTATGTAAAGCTCTTCATTATAACACTGCTTTCAGGAGCCAAAAATTGGGTGGGGGAGCCCCATAAATGTTGAATAATAGGGGTTTGATTAGATAAATTTTGGTGTAGTTCTATAATGGCGTGTTATTCAGCCAATAAAAGGTTTGTTAAAGAATGACTGTGACGGATGTATATGATATACTCTTAAGTGAATAAAGAGTTACAAAATGTTATGTACAAGTTACAAAATGTATGTACATTATGATCCATTTTTCATAAAATCATATGTATGTATATATGTGTGTCTGGAAGGATAAATTTATCAAGTTGTTATCTCTGAAATTTTGGGTATATTTTATATTTCTAGATTTTCTGTTACTTTGTTACTTTACTGATAAAGTAATAACGTTGTTGACTTTTGTCACTCTCCCCTATTAATAATCATCTAGGCTGCAAAAGGATCATGTCTTCTTTATTTTTATATTCCAAGGACTGTCAACAAGTGCCTAGCACTTGACAGGTATATTATAGAAATTTAACTGAATATCTTTAGGAAATAGATTTTTGTTTGTAGTTGTTCTAGTCTACATTAAATGTCTTGCGCTTATGAAACTTCCTTGAATTATTTTAGTGAAGCAATATTAGTATAGAATTTTGCATCACTGGATGCCCTTGACTGAAAGCTGGCTTATGGCATCTCACCAGTGTGTGGGGAGTTTCAGTCCTTCTGTTGTCTGCATCACAGCTGAAGCAGTGCTGTTGCTGACAATTCCTGACACCACCTTGTCTCTATTATTGATCATTGCCTCACTATGGTACTGAGTTTTAGCTTATTCTTGTAATAACTGGGACTCATATGTATAGAATAAGCTATTAGCTCACGTTTTTGCTTGCTTTTTATACAGAATACATGTCTGCAAATAGTTTTATCAATATTTTGGAATTTTGGGAGATATGAAGTTAAAAACATCATTGAATATATATATATACACACACACATATATATATGACACTATACATGATTTATTTTATTTAATTTTTAAAATTTTATTCTTTTTAGAGATTAGGTCTTACTCTGTCACCCAGGCTGAACTTCAGTGGTGTGATCATAGCTCACTGTAACCTTGAACTCCTGGGCTCAATTGACCTTTCCGCTTCAGCCTCCCAAAGTGCTGGGTTTATAGGCATGAGCCACTGTGTCTGGTCCAATATGCATATATATATTTTTAACCTGGATTATCAGAGCTATATTGTGTTTAGGTTTATAAAGCTGTACTATGTGAAAATATCACTTCTAGGTTTAATTTTGTACAAAGGAATTTTATATAGAAATGAGGTAATTCAGATTTTTTCCCATGTAATAAGAATTGTAAAATTTACTGAAACAAACATCAAAAAGATATCTGTTACATGACCTTCCTTTCTTTTGAATATATTTCAGGTGATATTATTTATTAAAATTTAAAAATGAAAATTAAAATATATAAAAAGTTGAAAATTATTCCTTTCTTTACTGTCTCTCATCTGTCCATTTTCCATTCTCCTGCATTCCCTCATCCAACCAAGGTAGCCAATCCAGGTAACTTTTTTTAGTATCTTCCCAGAGATGTTTCTCTCTATATATATAATCAATATACATTTTTTATTATTCCCCACCTCTCTTTTTATGTAACAATATGCAGAGTTTTGCTTCTTGCTTTTCCCACTATCTTGGACAACTTTCCATATTCAAAGCACAGAGGACTTGCACATATGTTCAGACTGCTGAATATTTCTGTCTCTCCCCTGCCATTCATATGTTGAAATCCTAATTCCCAAGGTGATGGTATTGCAGGGTGGGGCCTTTGGGAGGTGATTAGTCCATGAGGGTGAAGTCTTTAGTAAATGAGATTAGTGTCTTTATAAAAGAAACCTTAGAGAGACCCTCACACCTTAGAGAGACCCTCACCCCTTTCTGCCATGTGAGAACACAGCAGGAAGACAGCTGGCTATCCAGGATTCAGGAGTCTCTTAGCAGACCCAAATCTGCTGGCACCTTGATCTTGGACTTCCCAGCCTCCAGAACTGTGAGAAATAAATTCCTGTTGTTTATAAGCCACACAGTTCATGGTATTTTGTTATAGCAGCCTGAACAAGGACACACACACACACACACACACATGCACACACATTTAAATAGATGCATAGTATTCTATCATATGGATGGATATTCTATGATATAATGAATCACTATTGATTGACATTTGGGTTGTTTCCAATATTTTGTTAACACAAAGAACAACACTACAAATAACTTTATATACATATCATTTAGCACATCTGCAATTGTATCAGTAGGCTTCCTATAAGTGGTCAAGCATTTGTGTACTTGTGATTTTGGTAGATGTTGTCAAATGTCCTTCCCTGAAATTTGTACCAATTCGTACTCATGCCATACACTCTAAATAGAGTGCTGATTTCCCCACAGCATTACTAACAGATGATATTATCTAATTTAAAAAGTTTCTCATCTTATAGGGAAAATAGTATGTCAATGTATTCTTAACTTGCATTTCTTTTATTATAAGTAGTGTAAAATATCATTTCAACTTATACACAGGAGGAATTTCTCTCTATATAAAGTGATCCTAGAATCATAATGAAAAATATCACCAACTCATTAGGAAAATGTACAAAGGATTGAATAGATATCTCATCAAAAATAAAAATATAAGTGGCCTTTAAACATTGAAAGGTAACATTTGAACAAAGACTTGCAGGAGGTGAGGGATTAGGGAATGCAGACTCTGGGAAGAGTCTTCCAAGTAGCAGGTGAAGCAAGTGCAAAGCTTTCAGATGGGACTGAC
The DNA here is from genome assembly GCF_000001405.40 of Homo sapiens. Lineage (NCBI taxonomy): Eukaryota > Metazoa > Chordata > Mammalia > Primates > Hominidae > Homo > Homo sapiens. The sequence continues at coordinate 117,553,934 of NC_000007.14, forward strand.
TATACCTGTCTGGTTTGAAGAACAGTAAGGAGGTCACTGAGGCTGGCATAGAGTAAGACAGGGAGGGTAGAATACTGTCAGAGAAGTAATCGGCGGTGGAGGTAGGGGGTAAACCATAAAGTGCTCGTAAAGACTAAGGCTTATTTCTCTGGGTGAGATTAGAGGCCACTGGAGAGTTTTAAACAGAAGTAACAGGGCCACTTTGGCTAATGTTTTTAGGCTATTCTGTAGGGAGACAAGGGAGGAAGCAAGGAGATGAGTTAGGAGTCTATTGTGCCAGTTCAGGCAAGTGATGATGGTGGCTTGATCCAGGTAGTAGTGGAAGTAGTATAGTAGGAAGTGATCAGATTCAGGACATGCTTTGAAGGAAGATCCAATAGGATTAATGGATAAGTTGAACAATGGCATATGAGAAAAGTCACAGAGGAGTCAAAGATGATTCCAAGCTTTCTGGACTGAGTAACTGGAAGGATAAATGTGCCGTTTACTAGAAAGATAATGGGAGAAACAGGTTTTGGATGGAGCTTGGTTTGGGAATATTAAGTTTGAAATGCCTATTTGACATCCAAATAGAGATGTTAGTTGGATGTACAAGTCTAGTTTCAAGGAAGAGGGGGCTGGTAGTGTGAAGATGGGGCTGGATAAGATTCTAAAGGAAAGAGGGTTGATAAGAAGAGAAAGGGGTGTAGGGGTTAGCCTAAGGGCATTCTAAGTATTAGAGGTTAAGGAGGTGGGTGAAGAAAACCCAATAAAATAAAAGTCTGAGAAGACAAAGCTAGTGAATGAATGTGGTATCCCGGAACCCAACTGATGTCAAGCAGAAGGGTGTTATCAACTAGGTCAAATGCTCATTCATCAAGTAAGATGAAACTGTTATAATTAACCGGTGTCTTCTGAAATACGGAGATAACTCGTGACTTAATGAAAGCAATAGTAGAGAAGGTCAAACTTGACCAGAATGAAATTAGAAAGAATAAGAGGAAAGAAAAGACCAAATACAGACAACCATTGATGCCTTATTCTTTTGATATACTCCTGGAGTCCACTTGCTAATACAATTGACCCTTAAACAATACAGGCTTGAACTGCATGGGTCCACTTATTTGTGAATTTTTTTTCAGTTAATACATTGGAAAATTTTTGGGGTTTTTTGACAATTTGAAAAAACTCACAAACTGTCTAGCCTAGAAATACCGAGAAAATTAAGAAAAAGTAAGATATGCCATGAATGCATAAAATATATGTAGACACTAGCCTATTTTATCATTTGCTACTATAAAATATACACAATCTATTATAAAAAGTTAAAATTTATCAAAACTTAACACACACTAACACCTACCCTACCTGGCACCATTCACAGTAAAGAGAAATGTAAATAAACATAAAAATGTAGTATTAAACCATAATGGCATAAAACTAATTGTAGTACATATGGTACTACTGTAATAATTTGGAAGCCACTTCCTGTTGCTATTACGGTAAGCTCAAGCATTGTGGATAGCCATTTAAAACACCACGTGATGCTAATCATCTCCGTGTGAGCAGTTCTCTCTCCAGTAAATTGCATATTGCAGTAAAAAGTGATCTCTAGTGGTTCTCGCATATTTTTCATCATGTTTAGTGCAATGCCATAAACCTTGAATAACATCAAGCAATCCATACAAAGTGCCACTAGTGATGCACGGAAAAGTTGTAACAGTACAAGAAAAAAGTTGAGTTGCTTGGTATTTACCATATATTGAGGTCTGCAGCTACAGTTGCCTGCAATTTCGAGATAAATGAACCCAGTATAAAGACTGTTGTAACAAAAGAAAAGAAAATGTGAAACCATCAGTGCAGCTATGCCAGCAGGTGTGAAGTCTTGCACTTTTTGCAAAATACAAAATATGAAATATGTGTTAATTGACTGTTTATGTTATCTGTAAGGTTTCCACTCAACAATAGGCTATTAGTAGTTAAGTTTTTGTGGAGTCAAAAATTATACGTGGATTTTTGACTATACAGTGGGTTGGCACCCCTAACCTTCATGTTGATAAAGGGTCAATGGTATATTATTTAATTTTTTTGTATTTATATTCATAAATAAGATTAAATCTATATTTCCAAGTAATCTCTATAAGATTTTGTTATTAATATTACTATTATTTTTGAGACAGAGTCTTACTGTCACCAGGCTGGAGCACAGTGGTGCGATCTCGGCTCACTGCAACCTCTGCCTCCCGGGCTCAAGCAATTCTCCTGCCTCACCCTCCCAAGTAGCTGGGACTACAGGCACGCACAACCACACTCAGCTAATTTTTGTATTTTTAGTAGAGACGGGGTTTCACCATGTTGGCCAGGATGGTATTGATCTCTTGACCTCATGATCTGCCTGCCTCGGCCTCCCAAAGTGTTGGGATTACAGGCATGAGCCACTGTGCACAGCCATTAATATTATTGTTACCCAATAAAAAAAATTTGGAAACTTGTCTTCTTTTCCCCTGATTCTGTTTAAATAGCACTGGAGTTACCTGTTTTGAATTTTTTTTCCAAGCGGTCCCTTATGAGTTTTCTCTATGTTTTATTTGTTTCATTTCTTTTTTTTTTTTTTTTTTTTTTTTTGAGACGGAGTCTCGCTCTGTCGCCCAGGCTGGAGTGCAGTGGCGGGATCTCGGCTCACTGCAAGCTCCGCCTCCCGGGTTCACGCCATTCTCCTGCCTCAGCCTCCCAAGTAGCTGGGACTACAGGCGCCCGCCACTACGCCCGGCTAATTTTTTGTATTTTTAGTAGAGACGGGGTTTCACCGTTTTAGCCGGGATGGTCTCGATCTCCTGACCTCGTGATCCGCCCGCCTCGGCCTCCCAAAGTGCTGGGATTACAGGCGTGAGCCACCGCGCCCGGCCTGTTTCATTTCTTATATCGTATTTTTGCAACTCCTTTATTGATACTTTTCTTCCTGATTAGGTTTCTACTAAAACCAAACAAGCTTTCCATGAATTAGCTTTTAGATTTACTTATTAGTTTAACTGTTCTGTTGTATTGTAACTCATTAATTTATAATTTTATCTTTATTAATTATTCTATTTTTCTTCGCTTTTTTGTTGTTTTTCTAGTTTTTGAGTTAGATGTTTGACGCTTTTTTAAAAAGCTGTGCATTTTCCTCTGGGTAATACTTTAGCTGTATATTATGTATTCTGATATATAGTGTTTCCATTACATTGTTTTCTAGAAAATCTGTAGCTTTGATTTATATTTGTTTCCTCTTTGACCTAAGATATCCTAAGGGAAAATTTAACATTTTCCAGAAAGAAAACAAATTTTCTTTGTTTTCCAAGAATGTTGTTCAAATTATTTCTACTGCTTGGAATTTTTATCATTTTTGTGTATCCAGTAAATAGTCAATATTTGTACTTGCTCTCTGACCACATAAAAGAATATATTCGTGTAGTTTCTATTAATAGATTAGAGTTCAATTCAGATATTAAATGTACATCATTATTCATGATATTTAGGTCTTCTACATCTTCACTTATCTTTTTTCTACTTGCTTTGCCATTAACAGATAAAGTTGAATTAAAGGCTTCTACTACATACATTTCTCCCTGTTATTCCTTATAGGTTCTGTAATTTTTGCTTCAAGAATATTGCTTTTTAAATTTAATATATAGATACTTATAATTACACTCTAGCATTATAAAGAGCCTTTTCTTTTTCATTGAATGTATTTGGGCCTGCATATGTCTAACATGAAAATTATAGTCCTTTTTTTGTTTCTTTGTTTGTATTTACAGTTTTAAGTTCCATTTTCAACCTTTATGCACTCTTTGCTTTAGGTGTGTCTCTTTTAGTTAGCATAAAGTTAGGTTTGTCTTTAATTTCACCTGAAGTCTTTTCCTCTTAATAGATGGGTTAAGCCAACTGAAAAATAAAACTGACTTATATACTTTTATTTCAAGTATGTCCTCCACAAATATTTTTTGAATAGATTAGCTTATATACTTTGGAATTTGTTAAAAAAAGATTTTTATAAAAAATAATTGTGGTGAAATGTACATAACATAAAATTTATCATTTTGACCATTTTTAAGGGCATAGCTCTGTGGCATAAAGTATACTCACATAGTTGTGCAACTATCACCTCCTTTTGATTTTTTTTTACTAATTTTGTAAATTTGTTTCATCTGAGCTGTCTTATTATGTTTTGTTTTATGTTTTTCTTTCCTTTATTATGAAGTCACTGTATTGTCTGTAGGCTATATGTATCTGTGAGTGTGTGTGTATATGTGTGTATTATGGTTTTTAAAAAAGTCTATATTTGTTTTCCAGTGGCTATACTTAATACTAATAACTTTATGTTAAATTTTTCATTCTATGTGACTCTAGTTCACTAATATGAGCTCTGATAAAATCAGTGCTTTTTCGAGGTTAGGAGATCAAGACCATCCTGGCTAACACAGTGAAACTCCGTCTCTACTAAAAATACAAAAAATTAGCCAGACGTGATGGCGGGTGCCCGTAGTCCCAGCTACTCGGGAGGCTGAGGCAGGAGAATGGCGTGAACCCAGGAGGCAGAACTTGCAGTGAGCCGAGATCGCGCCACTGCACTCTAGCCTGGGTGACAGAGTGAGACTCTGTCTCTAAATAAATAAATAAATAAATAAATAAATAAATAAAATCAGTGCTTTTTCTTCCTCTGCTACCTCCTTTCCTTCTACTCAGTTTTAGTCAGTAGTATTATCTTTTTTCAGATTTATCTTTGTATTGTTAAATCTGCTTATGCTTCTATTACTTTATTTATTAGCTTTAAATGATACCTTTTGACTTTCAGCTTTTCTTAATAAAGCAATCAGCAAATTTCCTTTACACTCCACACTTATACCCCATTTCCTTTGTTTGTTTATTTGGTTTTTACTTCTAACTTTTCTTATTGTCAGGACATATAACATATTTAAACTTTGTTTTTCAACTCGAATTCTGCCATTAGTTTTAATTTTTGTTCACAGTTATATAAATCTTTGTTCACTGATAGTCCTTTTGTACTATCATCTCTTAAATGACTTTATACTCCAAGAAAGGCTCATGGGAACAATATTACCTGAATATGTCTCTATTACTTAATCTGTACCTAATAATATGAAGGTAATCTACTTTGTAGGATTTCTGTGAAGATTAAATAAATTAATATAGTTAAAGCACATAGAACAGCACTCGACACAGAGTGAGCACTTGGCAACTGTTAGCTGTTACTAACCTTTCCCATTCTTCCTCCAAACCTATTCCAACTATCTGAATCATGTGCCCCTTCTCTGTGAACCTCTATCATAATACTTGTCACACTGTATTGTAATTGTCTCTTTTACTTTCCCTTGTATCTTTTGTGCATAGCAGAGTACCTGAAACAGGAAGTATTTTAAATATTTTGAATCAAATGAGTTAATAGAATCTTTACAAATAAGAATATACACTTCTGCTTAGGATGATAATTGGAGGCAAGTGAATCCTGAGCGTGATTTGATAATGACCTAATAATGATGGGTTTTATTTCCAGACTTCACTTCTAATGGTGATTATGGGAGAACTGGAGCCTTCAGAGGGTAAAATTAAGCACAGTGGAAGAATTTCATTCTGTTCTCAGTTTTCCTGGATTATGCCTGGCACCATTAAAGAAAATATCATCTTTGGTGTTTCCTATGATGAATATAGATACAGAAGCGTCATCAAAGCATGCCAACTAGAAGAGGTAAGAAACTATGTGAAAACTTTTTGATTATGCATATGAACCCTTCACACTACCCAAATTATATATTTGGCTCCATATTCAATCGGTTAGTCTACATATATTTATGTTTCCTCTATGGGTAAGCTACTGTGAATGGATCAATTAATAAAACACATGACCTATGCTTTAAGAAGCTTGCAAACACATGAAATAAATGCAATTTATTTTTTAAATAATGGGTTCATTTGATCACAATAAATGCATTTTATGAAATGGTGAGAATTTTGTTCACTCATTAGTGAGACAAACGTCCTCAATGGTTATTTATATGGCATGCATATAAGTGATATGTGGTATCTTTTTAAAAGATACCACAAAATATGCATCTTTAAAAATATACTCCAAAAATTATTAAGATTATTTTAATAATTTTAATAATACTATAGCCTAATGGAATGAGCATTGATCTGCCAGCAGAGAATTAGAGGGGTAAAATTGTGAAGATATTGTATCCCTGGCTTTGAACAAATACCATATAACTTCTAGTGACTGCAATTCTTTGATGCAGAGGCAAAATGAAGATGATGTCATTACTCATTTCACAACAATATTGGAGAATGAGCTAATTATCTGAAAATTACATGAAGTATTCCAAGAGAAACCAGTATATGGATCTTGTGCTGTTCACTATGTAAATTGTGTGATGGTGGGTTCAGTAGTTATTGCTGTAAATGTTAGGGCAGGGAATATGTTACTATGAAGTTTATTGACAGTATACTCCAAATAGTGTTTGTGATTCAAAAGCAATATCTTTGATAGTTGGCATTTGCAATTCCTTTATATAATCTTTTATGAAAAAAATTGCAGAGAAAGTAAAATGTAGCTTAAAATACAGTATCCAAAAAAATGGAAAAGGGCAAACCGTGGATTAGATAGAAATGGCAATTCTTATAAAAAGGGTTGCATGCTTACATGAATGGCTTTCCATGTATATACTCAGTCATTCAACAGTTTTTTTTTTAGAGCCCCATTCTTATTTTTTATACACTTTGAGAGCATAATGAAAAGAAAAGCTACCTGCAAAAGTTTTGGACTTACCTCAAAGAGGATATACTTCATTCCTCAAAAGGCCTTCTTCCAGGAATAGTATTTCATAACCTGGAGGTTGGAAAAATCTGGATTTGTTACAAAAAAATCTGAGTGTTTCTAGCGGACACAGATATTTGTCTAGGAGGGGACTAGGTTGTAGCAGTGGTAGTGCCTTACAAGATAAATCATGGGCTTTATTTACTTACGAGTGGAAAAGTTGCGGAAGGTGCCTTACAGACTTTTTTTTTGCGTTAAGTATGTGTTTTCCCATAGGAATTAATTTATAAATGGTGGTTTGATTTCCTCAAGTCAACCTTTAAAAGTATATTTAGCCAAAATATAGCTTAAATATATTACTAGTAATAAATTTAGTACTGTGGGTCTCTCATTCTCAAAATGAGCATTTACTAATTTCTGAACACTGTGCTAGGTCCTGGGAATACCAAATTGAATAAGACATAGTCTATTTTTCTGAAGGGTTTATAGCAGAGTCCCCTGTGTTAATAATGAAGGAGTGTGTGGTATGTGAATCATATATCAATAGGGTTGTTAAAAATAATGAAAAAAGGAGAAGAGGAAGAACATCTTTTTTTTTTCTGATTGCACGGGCAGCCTTAAAATTATTTTTGAAGTGTACAATTCAGTGTTTTTTTAGCATATTCACAGGGTTGTATTATCATCACCATATTTTTGGCCTCTTGAAAAGAAATCCTGTGCCTATTAGCATCCAATTACCGTTCCTTTGTAGCTAAGTCTCCCCCATTCCAGCTTTAAACAATCACCCATCTACTTTCTGTCTCTATAAATTTGTCTCTTTTGGACATTTCACATAAATGAAATAATATAATAGGGTTTTTTGTGCCTAAATAAGCTTCTAAAGAAGAATAAGGTAAGGAATCATCATTCAGCAAATATTTATTAAGACTTGCTTTATTTTATACAGTGTACTAGGAGCTGGAGATGAAAATATGTGTAGAACATGAATCATATACTTCGGGAATTTGTGGACTAGTGGGAAAGATTGACATATCAATAACAAATCGAATTAGTGATGTAATAGAGGCATTTTTACAGGAGTAAAATGAGGTAGCATGGACTCTATCTGGGTCTGAATAATGTGAGGAGTAACCTCCTTACACAAAGAGGCACAAGGCTAATGTCCTCTGATGGAATGATTCACCATGCAATTCTAAGGGTGACAAGAATGAAAGTTAGGGCCTTGAAGAAATATTTTGATTAAGAGCTGCCAATAAAGTAGAGTAAAGATTAGATTGATGTGAAGAAGTGGGAGATTAATGAGTAAATGGTCACTGGCTTGTTGAGAAGATTAAATGAGATGTACATGTAATGTACCTAACACAACGTCTTGTACAAAGTAGCCATTCAGTAGAGACTAGCTTGTATTATCTCCCTTTGAGGTAAAGAAAACTGTTAGAAATAGTATTTCTACTACTGATAGTATTTCTTCTACTTATGCCTCCCTTTGAGGTGAAGAATACTGTTAGAAAACATGACATAGGAGAAATACCCCTGAGAGACAGTTCTTATTAGTGACTACTGTGCAGAAAAGATGGAGGTTGGTGTAATTAAGGAGAAGGAAAGCCATGAAGCCAAAGTATTATGAAAAAGCATCAATATGAATTTTCATGTTGACAAAGTGGTATAAAAGATAATTATAAAGATGGTCACTTATAAATACGGTAGTTCTGTGTGACACAATTTACAGAAGTTGGTATATCGTGTGGAAGAAAACAGCATAAGATCCTGAAGGTTTGAACTGTGGGCACATTGGCTCCATGCTCAGGAAATGGCAATGGGGTTGGGAAGTGATTCCACTTTATGTCCCTTTCAGACACATAAAAATTACTTGTGTGAGTATCTTATGCCAGACACTATTCACTGTGTAGTGAGCATGGTGGGTATGAAATGACAACTTTATTGTCTTTCCTGTCAAAGAACTTGTAGGCTGGTTGGGGGAAAGAGACCATTTCAATATGAAGTGCTGAGCTAGAGGTACCCTTAGGGCACTACAGAAGCCTAGCTGATGGCTTTTAGCCTGGCTAGACAGTTCAGGATCTCTAAAAGCAGGTGCCTTGAAGGCTGAGTCAAATACAAAAATGTATTTTGGACAGAGGAAATTGTATGAACAGAAACACAGAACATGAAACTACTTGGTTGGTGCAGGGTATCATCAGCATAGAACCAGACAGAACCAGAGTGTAAATAAGCCAGAAGGCCATGTCATGGAGGCCTTGTATACCAGTCTCAGGAATTTGGTTGTGGAGAGCTTTCATCAGGGGAATGATGTAATCAGCTTGGAAATGTAGATATATCACTGACTGTGATAGTGAGGAGCAGAATTAAGGTGGACGTGATTAGAAGCTTTGTGAATAGCAGAAAGAACATAGATTTTGAAAGCTGGCAGACGTAGGTTACTGAAGAAAGTTACTTAACCTTGCTATGTCTTTAGTTTTATCCTCTGCAATATGGGGATAATACTGCCTATTTTGTAGAGTCTTGTGGATTCTTCTGGCATATATAATAGAAAATAAAACAGCTATTATTATTATTGTTGATGGTACTATTTGCTATATCTGACTACAAGGAGAAAGACTAATAGGAAACCATTTCAGGAATCCAGATATGGTCATGATGGACAGGAAGAGACAAGAGTTACATAGAGGAATTCTGGGAAGATAAGAAATGTCATTTTTATGTACTGTTTGCATCCATCAGACAAGGCATCAGGAAAAATGATCCTTCAGGAAAGAGTGATTTTTTTTCTTCAAGAAATTAGAAGAGGGGAGAAATTGGTTTAAGATTAAGGACTCCATGCATAAGAGAAACTGGGAGGGAAGACAGGTAGAAATGCTATGGGGTTAGGAAGGAAGAATGCAGAGGTGGATTACTTAGAATTGAGACATCTGATCAAGACAGAGGGATCACAGCTTTTGCTAACAAAGTACTAGTGGAGGATGCCACTAGGTGAGGTTTAATAAATAATTGTTGACAATAAGTTCCATTTAAAAAATAAACAATTTATGCTTCTTCTTTGCCTAAGTGTCAAATAAAACATTCAGATTTTTATTTCAAAGTATCCCTGAGTCCCTGTTCCCTTTTTTGTCCTGCTGACTTTTGGAACTGATTTAGGCTTCCTTAGTCATCTCATAATAGAAAAAATCAGCCAGGTATTTCCTACATTTCTTGTATTTTAAAAAAATGTAATGGATGTAATGAATTTTAAGCAAATGTAATGAATACAATAAGTAACTTAGTATATGCTGTTTTCTTCTCTATGCTGAATGTTTCATACATGTTATTTTCTATACAACTACATGGTCAATTCCTTGAAAATATCAACTCCAAAATCTTTATTTTGGTATACTCCACGTAGCACATTGAGAGAGTTTTAAACTCTTGTTGGATGACTGTTTCAAAAGTGTTTTGAAGTAGGCATGTCAGTTGCAAAAAGTTTGCTCAGCAAATGTTGTTCTGTCTCACAGTCTCAGACATTGAGCAGATGATTACATGACAGCACGTGATTGCTGGGAGTAACAGACAAAAGTAACTGAAAGTGCTCGGTTATCTTGACAGTCAAAATCAAAAGTGTCCCCTATTTTCAGTGACCTAAGAGTTTCTTTTTGTGTTTTTGGTATTGTTGTTAAATAAGTGTTCTCACCTTTGAAAAGGTCAATAAGAATTCAATACAGTATAATGTCTGTGTGCCAAATGAAGGTGCCCCTTATTTTTAAGTGTGGAGGAGTTTTGATCATAAGAACTTGAAATACCTACAGAATCCTTGATGGTTAAGCAGCTGGTGCCAGCACAAGAATCCCTCAATATGTTCTCTATGAAGCCCCGATCACCAAATGCAAACATTCATGATTCAGTATATTTTCATCTTGACTGCCAAAGTTGATCTGTTTCTTAATATATTACATCTAGACTTGGAACTGGAGATGAGAACAGAATATTATCTTCCTCATTTTTGTGTTTTTGTTCAACTCTAATGTCTGCAAAGCACTTGCGTATGTAATGATGCTCAGTGTCATAGGAGCAGGCAGGTAAGTGTAAATTTGTCTGGATAGGAGAAAGCATGCACAACATATTTCACATAGTTTTCTGATTTCAGTTTGTTTTTGCAAATTATTCACTCAGTGAGATAGCTTAAAGACGTTATCACAGGGAAAGGCATGGAGATAGTTCTGTGTTGATAGAAAACTTGTAATGTACAGCCATGAGTGAGAAGTCAGGTTCAGATTCTTCACCTTCAGTCCTCCTCTTTCATAAACAGCTCCATGTCCTATTTTACATATCCTACTTTAAAACGAGATTATAGAAGAATGAATTTCTAGGCAAAGTGACACTTATTTTAAAATACTATTACGTATCCCTGTGCCCATTAACTTATCCTACCATTTTTCTTCCCCTGTGTCCAAACCACCTTTAGAATCTCCTAAATATTTGTAGCTATTGTAAACAGCACTGGAGACTTTGCTAGTTTAAAAGGAGAAATCAACGCAATTAAGCCCTAGTTAATTTACTTATCCCTTATGAGATTATAATTGTATTTTGTTATTAAAAGGGGGACAGAGTACACTGTTCTCTTGCCTTTTTAATTTCCAGACTACCACTTCTCCTGCACTTGACAATACCGCAGTCTACCACGTAGTCCCATGGCTGACAGGAGGAGAATTCTAGGCAGGCCAGTGTTTGAGTAGTGAGTAATTGGACTGTCTTTACCCAGCAACTCACTGTTTTGTAAATGTACCTGAGTTTGGAGAAGTAATTGGCTTTTATAAGGGGTGCGGGGTGGAGGGTTGGGGTGGGGAGAGTGAGAAGGAGGTCAGAGCTTTAGGATATATAATTGGTCTCCACAAAGTTGTTGTGATACTTTTGGAACCACGTAATGGTCTTCATTAACTAAGTGTCTGTCATGACAGCCATTACATATGCATTATAATAAAAATTTATTTACAGTGTAAGTTGAAGAAGGTAAAATCTGGATGTAGTTTCTAAACTCTGCTTGGCAGTTTTCATATTTAAGCCACTAGAAGAAAAAAATTGGGAGGGAAGCTGAGAAGAATTTACTGAAAGAAAAAAATACTTGGGAGGGAAATTGGCAAGAAGTATGAAAAAGCTTGGGAGGGAAGTAAGCAAATAAATGAGTTAATGACTGTTCTGGAAAATAAACTCTATCATGCAGATATCACATGACTGATTAAATTTGAATTTGACCTCCTGCTTTCCAGGTCTGGTAAAAACTAACCTGTAAGAACTTGAAACTTAGCCTTTGAATGGTCAATCCACCACTGTAGGAGAATTTATGAATGTTCAGTTGAGAGAACTGAAAATAAAGAAGTACCATAGGAATTAACATTTGCATTCAGTAGCCAAGATATAATGGACATCTGAAACAGGTATTTGAGGCCAGGCGTGGTGTCTCATGCCTGTAATAATAGCACTTTGGGAGGCCGAGGTGGGTGGATCACAGGAGGCCAGGAGTTCAAGACCAGCCTACTAAAACACACACACACACACACACACACACACACACACACACTAGCCAGGCGTGGTGGTGCACGTTTGTAGTCCAAGCTACTTGGGAGGCTGAGGCATGAGAATAGCTTGAACCCAGAAGGCGGAGGTTGCTGTGAGCTGAGATTGCGCCACTGCACTCTAGCCTGGGTGACAGAGTGAGACTCTGTCTCAAAAATAAAATAAAACATATATTTGAAACACATTGAATTATGTCCCTTAAACAAGAATAAACATCACTAAATGACTGTACCTTGAACTACCTGTAATTTTCTCCTGATAGGTAATTAAGCTTCAAAGTACTGACACTTATTTACTGTAATATGAAGCAATAACTTAAAAAAAAAAAAAAACTATTGAACCAGAACCAAACAGGAATGCCATAGCATTTTGTAAACTAAACTGCTATTTCATTTCATTTGAGCCCTGGAACTTGAAAATAAATGCTAGCTAACATCTGTGAACAGAACATACCCATCAGTACTGTGCTAAGCACCTTTCATGAACTGGTCATTAAATCCTCACTTTCCATTTATTTAGTGACAACTTCACCCAGAGTTTGCAGTCAAAGTGAAAATGTGCTGAATTCCAAAAGTGTGAGCTAGGTTTTAGAAGTTAATCACAATTCTGGAACAAATTACTAGCTTAACAAATGAGAGTTCTTATGTCTCTAAAACCAAAATAGCCCTAAGTCTGTCCCTCCCAGTAAGATTTGGGCCAGTCAATGGAACAGTAATATACAAATATAATTACAGCTGTCTAGGAGCAAACTATCCTATGAATAGATAATAAAATTAAGACACTTAAGCCATGTTTTCATATTAAAACACAAAGTAAAAAATCATTGTTTTCCAAAGATAAAAGCCATACTGTATCATGACATATATATGCCCGATGTTTCGACCCTCTTGAAGAATTGAGATTCTCGACTCTACACTCTTAGCGTTTTCTATATTGAACAGATGTTTAATTTAAGGAGGTCAAGAGAAATCTTACACTTATTTTTTAATGGTACCTTAGACATAGAAGGAACCTCAGAAATCTCTGGCTGAATATTTCCATCTGCAGATGATCATGTCATTAGGCTTCTGACTCTATAGCCATAGAAAAATATTCATGAAGACCTTTCAGGAAGGGAATGTTGGTATTTCTAAAAATTGAGTACAAGTATTCTCTAGACAAAACAGCTCTTGAAATGGCAGATTGTATTCCCATTATTATATTTCAGAATCAAGACATTAATACCTACTTTTTATTTACCAGGTTTAGTTATCCTTGAATTAGATTTTATAAATTAAAGAAATAGATTTCAATAAATATTTGTTGAGTTCCTAGTATGGAAACATCGTGTTTGGCACCAGGGATGTTGCCTGCAAGTATAACAGGAGTTCGTATTTGTAATGAGTTTATGATTTACAGATATTTGGGGGGCAAAGATATCATTCGGTAAATACTTATGAGTGCAAACTTTGAACTAGGGACTGGGCCAAACTCTAGGAACATATTTGATGACAGAGACACAATCCCTGTCCTCAAGGAGCTTTCATTCTAGTAGAGAAGATGAAAACCAGTACAGTTTGGTAAGTTAGATGATATTGGTTAATGTAGGGTTCTTATGTAAGTCTAGAGAAGTAGCATTTAATCTGTTCTTAGAAGGTCAGGAAAGATTTCCCTGGAGGAAGTGACATTTAAGCTGAGAGAGGATGGATAAACAGGAGTCATCTGAGTGAACAACAGGGAGAACATTCCAGAAAGAGAACAAAATGTACGAGGCCTGATGCCAAGAGAGAACATTCATTGCATTGGGGAACTATAGTCACTTCTGTGTGGCTGGGATGTAGAATGAAATGAGCCTGGACCCAAGAGAGCACTTTGCCCTTTGGGGAAGCTGTAGGTATTACAGTAAGGTTGGAGTCTGGAAAGAAAGGGGTATATTGTGAGATCTGAATTGGGAGAGGACAGTTATATCCAGACCTTTATATGCTCCAGTAAGAAGACTGAACTTTACACTGGGGGCCATGGGACTCACTGAATGGCATTAAATTTGAGAGTGGTCATATGACCAGATTTGCATTTTACAAAGATTGTCATTGACTGCAACATGAAGTATGGAGTATTGGAGGAGCGGTAAGGCTGGTGGCAGGGAGATAATTTAGGAGGCTTTAGGTGAGGGATGATAATGACTTGCCAGGTAGGAAGGAGTAAATTTCTTCTCAGTGGATAATTAGAAGATTGAATGGATGGACTTGGTCACTATTTGGTATAGAAGGGGAAAAAAGATGTCAAAGATGATGCCAATTTTTAAAAATAATTTAACATTTATTTTTAAATATTTTTTCAGCCTTATTAAGGTATAATGGACAACAATTGTAGGTATATGTCATTTACAACATGATGTTTTGATTTATGTATACATTGTGAAATGACTGCCATAGTCAAGCTCATTAACATATCCATCACTCACATAATTAACATTTTGTGTGTATGCAGTGAGAACATCAGGCTCTACTCTCTTAGCAATTTTCAAGTATAGATTACATTTGTTACCAACTATAGTGGCCACACTATACAATAGAGCTCCAGGACTTATTCATCCTGCCTAACTAAAACTTTGTACTCTTTGACCAACATCTTCCCATTCGTCTCTCCTCCCCATGCCAAGTTTCCATCTTGGTCAGTTGGGTGGATAGTAGTACTATCTGCCGAGGCAGGTTGGTAGGGTGAAAACAATGTGTTCCCTTTTGGAAATGCTGAGGTGACCAGGGAACTTCCAAGGGAATCTGTCTGGATCTAGAGCTTAGAAGAGATGTTTGGGCTGGAAACAGACATCAGGTATTCTTCAGTATATGGGTTGTAAATGAAGTCACAGGAGTGGGTGATATCACCAATGGTGAGTGTAGTATAAGAAGACTGGACTGAGGACAGATTTCCAAGGAATTTCAATACTTAAGAGGTACGCAGAGAAAAGAGGGGCTGTGAAGGACACCAAGGAGGAGACTAAGAGCCAGGAGGGAAAACTTTCAAGAGAGTATTGCATTATGGAAGGGAAGAAGAGAGAACATTTTAAATGATACGCAATGCTCAATAATGGTATCCGCTTTGGAGAGGCCAAGTAAGATTCCTAAGTACCCATTGGATCAAGGTCCTTAATCTTACAAAAACTTATGCAAATCAATAATAAAGAGATGATAACCCGATAATCAAAAATAGACAAGGCATATAAGAAGAAAATGAATTAAAAATATTCAAAGCATTCAACATATACAAATGCGCTCAATCTGATATATAATGAAAGAAAAGTAAATTAAAACAACAATGGGCATGACTAAATAACAGTATGAGGGAGCCTGAGGAGAAGGAGCATTTGAAATTTCAGTACAGAAGAGAAAAGGGGTGACTTATAGAAAAAGGAGACAGAAACCATAGAACATGTTTGGAGGATAAGACTCAAACAGGTAGTGGGGACCCTTTTCTAGAGTAGGATGAAAACAGGTAATGTGTGTGGATGCAAATATGAGGTAGGATGTAATGGGAAGTTGAGCGAATTCATATTTAGTCATTCATTCAAAAATACTTAATTGAGTTACTGCTGTGTGGCAAGCATCATTCTACAAACAGAGGGCACAGTGATAAGCAAGCCAGTTTGTACTCTCGTGTAACTTACATTCTACTTTGAGAAGACAGATTATAAATAGGTTAAAAAGTCAATAATATGATGTTTCAGCATCAACAATAAAAAATTAGGGTGATATATAGAGTGCCAGGGAAAGTGCTTTCATGGACCTCTTCATTCTCTCCTCTCCTGGTGTCATAAGCTACTCCTTCATCCATGCTGCCATTTCTCTTGGTTTACGGTTCCAGTATAGTACTCATCACATTATTACTATAGAGCCATCCACCTTATGAAGGTGAAGGTGTCCATCTCCTTACTTAAAAAAAAAAAAAACAAACAAAAAAACAAAAAACCCGAAAAACAAAAAAAGAGGCAGAAAGACAGAAGGTCCTCCACTAACTTTCACGTGCCATGTAACCAGCGAAATCCAATTATTTTACAGCATTCTAGCTATAGAAGAGTTTGGGAAGCGTAGTGCTTAGTGTTCTAGCCTTTGTAGCACAGGAAAGGGCCTGGAAGGAAAGGAATTGTGTCTTCCGCAGTTGCTTTTCTTTATGGGGAAGTGCTATAGCCCAAACAATATTTTAGGAATTTTCATCTATTGTCAATATGCAAACTGGAAGGGGATAATGAAAATGTTGTGGTTAGAAGTTTATGAAATATTGTTATTCACATTTTAAAGTAAAAAGAGGGAATGTTTAAGAGACTTGTTTAAGATCACATGTCTCATAATTGGTGGGACCAGCAATACAATCCAAATCTAACTACTTATCTTTTTGCTATGCCCTATTAGTGTTCATATTAGAAAAGAAATTCTATCTCAGACACTAATGATTTGTTCTTTGGACACCAATGACTTTAAGTTAAAACTTCATACTAGTTAATTTAATTATGGTGTAGCAGTATTATTAAACTATCAAGACTATAAATTTTCTATTTGTAAAGGAGATTATGATACCAAAGATTAGTGAACTAATGATATTGAGAATTCTATGACATAATTTTGAAAAATATTTGCAGGATATTTATTTTTGTGTAAATGATGCTTTCAAGCTACCATAATCCTAAGTAAGTGTATATTTGGGAAAACCACCTATTCTAACACACTTGAAATTTAAATAAGTCAGGAAATTTTTTTCCAGATCTTCTCCCAAATTATCTTCATCTTTTTCCTCTCCCCTTGGGAAAGAATCTCTTCATGCCTCATAATATCAAATTTAAACTATGGAAGTCCAGGTGGTGGACAGTCAGCAAAGGGGAAGATGAGAAGCTTGTGTTATAAAGCCAGCTCTTGTCAGAATAAGGATCTGGTAGGAACTTCAGAAGTGATGGGTAGGTAAGTATGAAGGCCAGGTCCTAAGATCTAAATTACAAAGCAGAAGACTTACTTACCAGGGAGCTGGAAAACATGTTAGGAAATCCAGAGCAGGAACAGATTTCAAGATAGCACAATAATATAGCAGTGAAGTACTGAGAAAAGAGTTTTTTTCACGGGTTGGATTTATTCTAGCATTTTAGGCAGCATTTGGGCATTTCTAAGTGGTCAGACTTAGAGGAGATAGTTAAGGAATTAGCAGCTGCTAAATGCCAATTCTTAGACCAGTTGAATCAAAATCATCTAAAAAGCTTTCAGAAACCAGACTTTTTAAGGGCCATTTGAGAGACTCTCAAATCTGGAATCCAGAAATCTATAGCTAGATGAGTTTAAGGTAGAGCCAGAATAAGAAAAATAAAATAGTTTGTTTGTTTCAGGTATCTTTTCCAATATTATTTCCGAACCTACCCCAAACACCTTAAATCACTGCATTCTATAGCCATTCTTTTAAAAATGCTTGAGTTATTAGTTTTCAAAAACAAATACAAATCTGCACACATACAGAAATAAACATTAAAGAGACATAAAGATATTAAACAGAGTTACATATACTTACAACTTCATACATATATATTATATATAAAACTGAATATTAAGTGTTTGATATTAGTGACAAAATCTGTAACATCCATTATATTAGTGCTTTTTGTACTTTTTGTTGGGTGTAGTAAAAATTGCATTCGAATTTGAGTTTTCTGCTATATATTTGGTCAGTTCCTATCAGTGAAGGAAAAACCTTTTTTTATTATTTTATTGTTTTTTTATTTTTTGAGACGGAGTCCTGCTCTGTTGTCCAGGCTGGAGTGCAGTGGCATGATCTTGGCTCACTCCAACCTCTGCCTCCCGGGTTCAAGCGATTCTCCTGCCTCAGCCTCCTGAGTAGCTGGGACTACAGGCACCTGCCACCAGGTCCAGCTAATTTTTGTATTTTTAGTAGAAATGGGGTTTTGCCATGTTGGCCAAGTTGGTCTGGAACTCCTGACCTCAGGTGATCTGCCTGGCTTGGCCTCCCAAAGTGCTGGAATTACAGGTGTAAGTCACCACGCCTGGCCCCTTTTTATTTTTTAAGCTGATTGAAGATTCTTAGTTCTCATGCTTTCTAGTGGTGATTAATCTTTAGCCAATATTTCTATATACAGTTATTAGTAATCATGTTTGACTTAGGTCAACAAACAATCTTTCCTAAAAAAACAGAACCCCAATTTTAATTTCTGAATTATTTAGTATCTATTTTCTGCTGTGGAAGTTGAATTATGTTGATAGATATCATACAGGGCCATGTAACACTCTCAGATACACGTTCACATGTATAGTAGCTGTATACAAAAATGTTACTTCATTCTCTCTCTCTTTATAATACTCTTGGCTCTCTTACGTTCTCTCACACACTCTACTCTTCCCTTCCTCTGTTCTTTCTACTTGTTCCCTCTGCTCCTACCACACTTATTCCCCCCTTGTCCATTTTCCTTGTGCATAAAGCACAAGTGCTTAGTAATTATCAAATATTAATAACAATGACACTAACCACCCAATGATTTAGTGTTAATGACATGCTTTATTGAATGGCATTACCTCTAAAGTTCATGTTTCCTTTACCCAACCAAGCTTCTTACCCTCCTCCCTTACCACAAGCATCTATATTGTCAAGGTTGTTATAAAGAGTAATAAGCCAGCCATTAAAAAAGGGTTTATGGTATTTTCCTATCTACAAAGTCACAGGAAGCTCAAATGTACTCAGTAAATATTGCAAAATTACACAGGACCATTAAATGTAACACTCCACCCTTTCTCTCTCTCTCTCTCTCTCTTGCTCTCTCTCTCTCTTTCTGTCAATATAGCAACACCCTATATCATTGCCCTTTGTATGTGCAAATCAGAGTTAATAAGCTTTATATTAGCAATTACTCCTTAACAACTTCTGGTTTGTTTGGTCCAGTTGAATAATGTAAGCACTTAAAAAAATGAAATTATAAACATTTATGTGAAAAGTGCATATATCACATTGGATATGTTGTTATGCACTCCTTAATAATAAAGTAAGTTAATCTTTATTGCACACTTATTATAATATTACTTTGACCCTCTCTAGTACTCTTTATCTAAGTATTCTCAAGTGCTTTACAATCTCAAACAGACCCAATGTGTTGTATACACAGAATCCTTTGAAGCTGACATTTGCCTTTCTGACCAGCTTGTTGTAAAGGAAATCAGCCAAAAAACAAGTATCTAGATGAGTAGCTCAAACATTAGTACACATAGTAATCACAGGTCAAAATGCAGATAGATTACCCTGTCCAAATTCTCCTGAGTAAGAGTAGGTGAAACATTTTTAAATAAGCTCCCCAGGTGATTCTGAAATTGGTCCAAGGACCACATATTAAGAACTAATGATCCAAACAATTTGACTTTTTATTGTAGATTAAACCATGCTGAGAAAATTATTAAAAATTGAAATGGCAGTGGAGGATGGTTTGAAAGAAAGGTTTTTCAGGGCCCTTTCAACAATAAAATTAATTGAACACAATATTAAAACTCTATATTTGATTTAAGACTAAGGTTTTCATTGTTTTTAAATCTCAGTAATTTTTATGTAACAGGTCAATTCATACCCAGCATCTTAATTCCAATGAATGATTTCCCACAACAATTTTTGTGGATAACTCCAAGGGAACTCGAAGGAAGTTGTAGTATGAACAAAGAGAAGTAGAATTTGTCCCTGTGTGTAAGGCTTCTCTGATAAGCAGCACAGGCTCTCATACTGCTTTTTAAAAAAATTATGATAGCATCAAGTGGAATTAATTTTTTTTAGATTATACTTTCATGGAAGGGAAGATCTACTGTGAAGGCTGGAAAACCAACACCCTTAAGATAAATATATTACCAGATTTGAGCGCTCTTAGTAATCAGCAAAGATAAATGTTTAACAGTGCATACAAAATGAAGTGTTTTATGTTAAATCAAATAGAGAAAGCCAAACACTAATAATGTGGTTACAAATGAACAATAAATTAGGTAATCAGAACAGGTACAGACATTA
The DNA here is from genome assembly GCF_000001405.40 of Homo sapiens. NCBI lineage: Eukaryota > Metazoa > Chordata > Mammalia > Primates > Hominidae > Homo > Homo sapiens. The sequence continues at coordinate 117,574,287 of NC_000007.14, forward strand.
ATAGCAGGATATTGGTATTATTAATGTATTTTGTTTTAAAATAATGAACTTAATTACAATTCTCCTCATCCTACCCCACTATTTTATTTTATTCCAGATTCAGCAGCTTCATATTATGTCTCTGAAACACTTATTATTAAAGTTATCCAAATGTACACATTTCTCTTTATATAAATGTTTCAGTCCAGAAAAGGAGGCCAAATACATTAGCTCAGAACATCAAATCTTCTCAGATGTGGGAATCTTTTATTTTCACACTTTTAAAGGTAATCTGTATTTCTAGCGTCTATTATAGACAGAAAACTTTCATATGACAACATTCCTATTTTCTTAACTGCCTTGATAGGGGCGAAGACAAATTCTAAGTAGGACTTTTTACCCCATTCTTCTTACCATCATTCTTTCACAAAACCCCCAGCTTTAGACAATCGCTATTATGAATTTGACATGTACTATTCCAATCCATTCCCATAAATTTACACCCATATATACATATAGTTATCTATGAACAATATTTAGTAGCTTTTTTGTGTGTGGCTTTAAAATTTACATAAATTGTATAATTTGTGCACATTCTTCTTTAATTTGCCTTCTTGGCTACGGTTATCTTTTTGAGATCTAGCTATGCTGCTGGTATGTAGAATTCTATTTCATTCTTTTTTCATTGTTGTTTTGTACCCATAACGTGTCACATTTTATTTATACCTTCTGTTCCTGATGGACATTTAGATTCTTCCAGGATTTTACTCAATACTGCAATGAAAATCTTTGAATTTTTCTCTTTTGCACATATTCAAGAGACTTTTCTGACATATATATCTATAGGTGAATTGTGTAGTCATATGATACATACACACATTTTAAATTTCACTAGATACTGCCAATTTGCCCTTTGAAATAGCCATACAATTTATAGTACCACCAGCCACTTATGAAAGTTCCCATTTCCTCAAATCTTTGAAAGTTCTTATTATAAACAGACATATTAATTCTTGCCATTCTGATTTGTAAATCAGAATCTCTATTGTTCTACCTCTAGTTCTAATTTGGAATTCCCCAATTACTTGTAAGATGCTATATATTTTCATGTTTGTTAGTCATTCTGATTTCATATCCTTTACCAATTATCTTTTTGGTAAGTTATTGTGGTGGCCATGAGATGTGCCTTACAGAGGCCTTGCTAGAGGGAATGTGATTGAATGAGAGCCCCAGATGCTGTGTATTAAAATCCTGCACTGAGTTTGTCTCAAGATTTCTTGCACGTGAATGAATGAGTACAGCTGGGATACTAAAGCAGATGTGTATTTGGGAGATATGAGACTTCTTTAGTGGCTGATTTTTGGCTCATAAATGACTTTGCCAAACCTTCCTTAGACTGCTCAGTGTTCTAACATCTTCCATCCAGCCTTCTACCCTTCTTTCCTTTACTAGGGGATTGAATTTACATTGAGGTCTCATAGCCTTCTCTGCCTCTCTCCTTATTTCCTTTTATACAAATATTTCCCCTAATAAATCCATGCACATTTAATACCATTTTGCTATTTGCAACCTGCAGGTCCTGGACTAACACAGTTCTATACATTGCATTACCATTCTCTAGAGTGGGATCTTTTGTTGTAGAGAGTTTTAAAATTTTTATGTAGTCACTTTTATCCATATTTTTCTTTATGGTTTATATTTTTGTGTCTTCTCTTTAACACATCTTTTCTAGCAGAATTCATAAATATATTATTCTATATTGCCAAAAGTTTGAAAGTTGCAATCATTAGAATTAATTTTTGTATATTGTGTAAGTTAAGAATCTAATTTTATTGTTTTTCATTGGAAAGCCATTTGTCCCAAGATAATTTTTTAGTAGTCCCTCCTTCCCCTATTGTCATTCTGACATATTTTTTCTAGGTTCCGATCTATGCATGTGTTTCTTTATGGAAGAGTTGGCCCTTTGTATCTTTGAGTTTCAAATCCATGGATTCAATCAACCACAGATAGAAAATATTTAGAAAAGCGTCAGAATTGAACATGTACATACATTTTGCTTGTCATTATTCCCTAAACAATATAGTATAACAACTATTTATGTAGGATTTACATTGTATTAGGTATTGTAAGTAATCTAGAGATGATTTAAAGTATACAGGAAGATGTGCATATGTTACATGCAAATACTACCCCATTTATATAAGGGTCTTGAGCATTCATGGATTTTGGTATCCACAGAGAGTCCTGGAACCAATTCCCCACAGATGCCAAGGCACAACTGTATTTATTCTATCATCTACTTGTTTAATCTCACATCAGTATCTACTTTTGAAATAACAATAACTTTATTATTTAACTTTTTTTATTACTTAGGATTAGAGAATTTCCTCTGGTGAGGCATCATAGTGTCTCAAGCTGGCCATAAAGACAAGTGAGGGCTAGGATCGGTAAGACTGGGCAGAGGAAGATACAACAGATCTCCTATGCATGAAGCAAAAGTGCAGCTCAGAAGCCAGCTCTTTCATTAAGTTGTCCTCTATACCCTCACTAGATTGTAAGCTCTTGAAATGAGAGGCTATACCTTAATTGTCTCTGTTATCTAAAATACTTCCACTCACTGCTTGGAACATATTGCCTGCAATAATTAAGCTTGCCCTGGCTCCCAAAGCATAGAGCAAATCACACTCCTCCCCTTGCCTTTGAGAAGCTCACAGTCTTCGAAGGTAGAGATATGTGAACAGATAAGAAAATGGATGACAGGAGAACAGAAACGCATGACTGTCAGAGAAGTCATTGGAGACTTTACAGAGGAAATTAAATTTTTATTGATCTTGAAAGAGTTTGCCAGATGAAGTAGAGGACAGGCATTTTAGACAAAGGGAACAGGAAATGTGAAAACACAAAGTGATGGAAGTCATGGTGAGTTTGGAGAACTATAAAACTTCAATGTGGCTGAAGGGTAAGGTGGATATAGAGGAGTGCTGGGAGGTGAGGCTGAAGAAATAAGCTAGGAAATGTCTTTTTATGCCATTTTTTAAAGTTTGGACTTTATTCTGAAGTTCACATGGATCCAATATTTTTTGTTTTGTGTTGTTTTAAGCAGAAGCGTGACATGATCAGCTTGAATGATGAACAACTTGAATTGTTTAAAGTGGATCACACAGTCTACTGTTTTACAGTTATTCTTTGACCAAGATATTCTTTATTAACTGAGGAAAAAAAGGGCTTTCCTGAATTTTGCAGTCATGGGATATATGATAAGCATTCTTGATTTATCATCTTCAATCCTGTTACATAACATAATAACCATTGTTATTACCTTTAGCAATGCTTTCCTCAGTATTATCTAATGGCCTATAAAATGTGACTTTCATTTGCAAATACAGTACATCTAACAAGAACTTACCACAGCTGCTATGCAAAATACCAATACAATTGACCCTTGGACAATGTGGGGGTTAGGGGTGCTGATTCCCCATGCAGTTGAACATGTTACATAACATAATACATAACCATTGTTATTATGTAACAGGATTGAAAATGATAAATCTTTGGAAAGTGGGGCAAATGAATTCTTATGAATTCCATATCTTCCACATGTGTTTTACTTTTTTGATAAGAAGTAGTAACCTAGTTCAGAAAGAAAATAATCATCCCCTTTTACTTATGCAGGATACCAAGTCTATCTTAGCACCATAATAGTGAATGATAGGAATCAAGCTCTATGAATACATTCACATGTACATATATATGGCTATATAGGACACATGCATGCACATATACATATATACACTTGCATATATGTGTATATACATGTACATATATGCATGTATATTCAATTGTATATGTGTATATAGCCAAGTTATTGTACAGTTGACCTTTGAACAACACGGGTTTGAACTATGCAGGTCCACTTACACGTATTTTTTTTTTCCGTTTCTGACACCCCTAAGGCAACAAGGCCAACTCCTCCCCTTGCTCTTCCTCCTCAGCTGACTCAACATGAAAACTATGAGGACGAAGACCTTTATGAAGATTCACCTCCACTTAATGAATAGTACATACATTTCTTTTTCCCCATGGTTTTCTTAATAACATTTTCTTTTCTCTAGCTTGCTTTATTGTAATAATATAGTATATAATACATATAACATACCAAGTATGTGTTAATTGACTGCTTATGTTATCAGTAAGGCTTCTGGTCAACAGTAGACTATTGCTAGTTAAGTTTCTGGTAGTTACAAGTTATATGTGGGTGTTCGACTGCATGGGGAGTCAGCACCCCAACCCTCATGTTGTCCAAGGGCGTTGTCCAAGGGTCAGTTGTAATTGGTATTTTGGATAGCAGCTGTGGTAAATTCTGGTTAGATGTACTATATTTATAAATGAAACTCACATTTTATAGGCCATTAAATATTATTGAGGAGAGCATTTCTAAGGGTAAAATCTTGTCTAATGCTTGAAACATCTTCATTTTCCTGTCAGTTTAGATCTTTTTGAAGTAATTCTGAAAATCTCTCTTTTAAGCTAAATTTAACACAACCAAATAGCCAAATATTTAAGTTCCACTAATGAAGATATCTAAATTTCTGTTAAAAATTTAAGATATATGTTAAACCCTTCTAATATAACTCTTCTCTCAGTCAAACTTTTTTTTTTAACAGTTGCTTTGCTTCTTCTTTCAAAGTCATACTTCAACAAAGTTGCTATTGAATATGTCTGACTAAACATGTTAGCTATATGATAAGATGGCTGGATAAGAGATAAATATAGAAAATGTAGCTTTTTTTCTACTTGCAATAACCCTTTAGGAATTAAAATGGAAAACTAATAACTATTTGATTCATAATAGTAGCAAACCGTAAAATATTTAGACATAAATCTACTAAGAAATTTATAAGACATATATGGAGAAAATTCAATTGAATAAACCGTTATTGAAGTATATAAAATAAGATCTGGATGAATAGAAAGATCATAATTTTTAATAAAATTTTGCATCTTAAAAAGTGAACCCTCTCCAAATATATGCACATTTAATAAAATTATAAATACATCCCAATGAGGTTGGTTTTGAAATTTTGTTAATTGGAACTTAAATTTCACCTAAGAAGAAAAAATAAAGAATAGTTAAGAGTGCATGCTTTGTAGACAAATTGCCTTAGTTAGAATCCTGGCTCTATCATCTATTAGCTATGTTATCTTTGGGATAACATTCATCTTTTCTTATAGATATGCTTAAAACAGTGCCTGACATATAGTAAGCACAAATATCCATTAGCTATTCTTCTTATTATTTATGTTATTAGTATTGTTAATATTTGTTATTATATGGAAGACTAAATGACCAAAGAGAGTCAAGAAATTTATGAATAAGATTTATGCGTTGTTAGATATTAGAGCCATTAAAAAAAAAAAAACCAAAGTGCCAAAAAACCTAGCACAGTGTTAATACAGGAATAAAAAAATGGATCAGAGGAACCAAACAGAAAAGCCAGAAATGGATCTTAGGAAACATGAGAATATGATATATGATAGATGCTAAATGAATTCAGTATAAAAATATTAATGTAATAAATCATGCTTGCTATTCAAGTAAAAGAAAATGAGGTTAGATTCATGTCTCATACCAAATATAACCATAAATTATACCTTGATTAAATTTTTTAATTAAAAAGCAATAATATTTGAAAAGAAATATAGGATACTCAATGTATAACCTGAAGGTTGGGTAGTACTTTTCAACAAATATAGGAATTTTTCACTTGAAATACTAGAAGAAAAAAAGATAGCAAACAAATACAGGAATTCCAATTTCAAGCAGATATAATGATTTCATGAAATGTTAACTGTGCACATGATAGATGGTCTATGGATAGTGCAAAAGAAAAAGAGAAAAGAAAAAATGTTTTTTAACATATGCAGCAAAAAAGGTTTTTAACATCTATTACATACAAATAAAAATGAATGTATAACACAGACTTCAATAAAAATAGGCATTTCACAGGAGAACAATTCAGATGGCCAGTATTTACAATTTCATAGGTATTAAGGAAAATACAAATTAAAATGGCAAATTAGCAAAAATTGAGGTGTGATTATATTAATATCTGTTGGTGGTGGTGATTATGGGGAAAAGGGTACTTTCAAAACTTGCTAATATAAATATAATTCTTTTGGTTGTTTTGTAAAGGAACCTGACAATATCTTTTAAAAATAAAGAAAACGCATACTTTTGACCTAGCCATCCCATTCATGAGGGTATGTCTTAGAAAAATAAGATCACAAAATCATAGAGATTTATGTGCAATGATATTATTGGTAGGTCATTTTTATGAGGAGGGGTGTGGATAGTAAATGCCAGGGTAAATCACATAGCATCTAATAAACGTATTTATGAACTACAAAAGCTTACACTTTCAGTCTAGTCTAGTCCAGACTGCAAATAAATGTGAGCAAGTGAATTCAAGCACAGAAGTGCTTGAAGGCAGGTTTCATAAATCTACTTTCTTACAGTATCCTGATATTGACTTATCGAGACAGTTACTGTGGGGTTGATTATTAAAATATTTATGTATCTAGGTATTTTTCATTCAGTAGTATGTTATTCAATTAGCAACAAGTGTGGGGATTTAAAGATATTCTTGTTTGTTTTTACTGCTGAAACATATTCTAGTGGAAATTTCGAATAAACGATTAGTCATCCTAAAAGCAAGATACATTTTCTCAGAAAAGACAAGGTAAAGAACTTGTATATCCTCCCTCAATTCGTTTATAAGGTAATAAGATGAATAAAAATATCATAGTACAATTTAGCATTGTAAAATAAAATTAATTGGTCATCTCTAGTGTGGTCGTGCTTGGAAGGTGAAAGAAGCCAAGATCTTGTCTGGGAATATCATGTCTACCTTGACCTCACCCTTAAGAATCCTAGCCTTTAGTTTAAAATCACATGGCTACATACATACCAACTTCAACAATAGTACATCTGGCAAGGTCATGCAAACCTGGGACTTGAGCTTCTGATTCTAAGTCCAGTGCTTTTTGTGTACATCATCTCTTGTACATACCTTATGATGATATGCTAATAAAAGCTACGTGATCAGGCCTTAAAAATCTGCTTTTTTTTTGTAATGGTAGAATGGGGCATATTATCACATCAGGTAAACACTCTATTCAAGGATAAATGGAAATGAATGTCATATATAGATCATTGATAAATATCTCATTACAAAATTATGAGAGTTACCAATGTTTGAGTGTATATTATGGGCCAGCCCTTTATATTAAATTACTTCAAATTTTTACAACTGTTAAAGGAAGATATTATTATACCCATTTTATAGATGGACAAGTTAGGGCCAGAAAAGACTTCCTCAAAGCTGTTAGTCCAGTAATGGAGACAGGGCTAGAAAACAGGTCATTTTGCTCTTTGACTAATGTTACTACTCATGTTTTGTATTTTGTTTAAAGTTTTATTTTATTTTGCTTTATTTATTTTTTGAGACAAGATCTTACTCTGTCACCCAGGCTGGAGTGCAATGGAGTGATCACGGTTCATTGCAGCCTTGACCTCCTGGGCTCAAGCGATCCTCCCACCTCTCAATCTCCAGAGTAGCTAGGACTACTACAGGTGTGTGCCACCATACCTGGCTAAATTTTGCATTTTTTGTGGGGACAGGGTTTCACTATGTTGCCCAGGCTGGTCTTGAACTCCTGGGCTCCAGCGATTCACCTGCCTTGACCTCCCAAAGTGCCAGTATCACAGGCTTGAGCCACCATGTCCAGCCAAGTTTTATTTTAGAATTAAAAAAAATTCCACTTGGATTGTTACATTTTATCTCATTGCTTTATATTTATAGAATTACTTTATAAATGCCACTTTCTTAATTTTCATAGTTAGCACTCTTTATGAAACATAAACTATTATTTGACCCAGGTTTTTGTTAGAGGAATTGAGTCAGAGAGCTGTTAAGTAACTGAGATTTCACAATAAGCCAGACAGACCAGGGTTCAAATTCTGGGTCTCACATTATCCAATTCAATATTCCAGCTTTGTTACTTATTGAGCAACCACTACAAGCACAGTTTACATGACATCTGATAGCTCTCAAAATGAATTTTACAAACATAATTCAGATTTCAACTCAGCAGTGACTCAGGAGAAAGGACACTTGGATGCATTTCTTTATGGCATTTTTCCCAGGGTACACGCAACCTGGAAGATCTCCCAAGTATGGGGGAAGGTTTCACCCTGAGGAATCCCATTCCCTCTAATCTGGGACAAGGGGGAGGAGAGTACTGTCTCTTATCAGCCATCTCCCCAGGGAGGCCTGGGCCCTCCTGGAATGCATACCATGGCTTACTGACTCAAAGTGTTGAAAAGACCAGGCATTGGGACACACAACACTACTCTTAAAATAAAAAAAGAATCAGAGTAGCTTGTGGTTATAATTGAAATGGACAGAGTAACATGGTACCAAGAAACTATTAGCAATTCCTTCCCTAAATCCCTCATTTTCTTAAAGCATTTTCTCCTTTTCCTCAACAAGCTTTAAGTTGGATTTGAAGAATGATAAGACTAAAAGGAGGGCTGTTTCTGGTCTTTGGAGGAATTTGATATTCCATTCGATCTGAGTGTGCAAAGCCTGAGTTCACATGAACTCTTCTGATCTCTTTCTCTAATATTTTTTCACCTTATTCATATGGGAAAGAAGGAGGGGAATACTTTAGTTCCATTCTCCCTCCTCCTATTTCCTTGACTTGTTTAAAATATAAATGTTATAGACACCTAAGATAGAAATTTGACTGAAACAGCCTCTTAATTATTGTCTTAAAAAATTGGTATAATGAAATTGCATTTGTAGTCTTTGGACATTTAAATCCAGAAGGGATATTTTCTTTTTCTTTTTTAAAAATTTAATTCAATAGTTTTTGGGCTACAGGTGGTTTTTGGTTACATGGATAAGTGCTTTAGTGGTGATTTCTGAGATTTTGATATACCCATCACCTGAGCAGTGTGCACTGTACCCAATATGTAGTCTTTTATCCCCCCCCCGCTCCACCCTTCCTTTATCGTCCCCAAAGCACATTATATAATTATTATGCCTTTGCAGCCTCATTGGTTAGCTCCCACTTGTAAGTGAGAACATGCGATATTTGGTTTTCCATTCCTGAGTTACTTCATTTAGAATAAATTGTCTCTAGCTCCATTCAAGTTGCTGCAAAGGCCATTATTTCATTCCGTTTTTTGGCTGAATAGTATTCCATAGTGTATATATGCCACATTTTCTTTATCCACTTGTTGATTGATAGGCATTTAGGTTGGACCCATATTTTCGCAATTATGAATTGTACTGCTGTAAACATGAGTGTGCTTTTTTTTTTTCCATATAATGACTTCTTTTCCTTTGGGTAGATACCCAGCAGTGGGACTGCTGGATCGAATGGTAGTTCTCCTTTTAGTTCTTTAAGGAATCTCCATACTGTTTTCCACAGTGGTTGTACTAGTTTACAACCCCACCAGCAGTGTAAAACTGTTCCATTTTCAGCACATCCATGCCAACATCTATTATTTTTTGACTTTTTAATTGTGGCTATTCTTGCAGGAGTAAGATGGTATCTCATTGTGGTTTTAATTTGCATTTCCCTGATAATCAGTGATGTTGAGCATTTTTTCCTGTGTTTGTTATTTGTTTGTATATCTTGAGAATTATCTATTCTGTCCTTTGCCCACTTTTTGATGGAATTATTTGTTTTTTTTTCTTGCTGATTTGTTTGAGTTCCTTGTAGATCCTGGATACTAGTCCTTTATCGGATGCATAGTTTATGAATATTCTTTCCCACTCTGTAGGTTGTCTGTTTACCATGCTAATTATTTATTTTGCTGTGCAAAAGCTTTTCAGTTTAATTATTTCCCATCTATTTATTTTTGTTTCTGTTTTATTTGCTTTTGGGATCTTAGTCATGAACTTTTTACCTAAACCAATGACTATAAGAGTTTTTCCAATGTTATCTTCTAGAATGCTTATGTTTTCTGGTCTTAGATTTAAGTCTTTGATTCATCTTGAGTTAATTTTTGTATAAGGTGAGCATTGAGGATCCAGTTTCATTCTTCTACGTGTGGCTTGCCAGTTTTCCCAGCACCATTTATTAGATAGGGTATCCTGTCCCCACTTTATGTTTTTGTATGCTTTGTCAAAGATCAGTTGACTTTAAGTATTTGGCTTTATTTCTGGGTTCTCTATTCTGTTCCATTGTCTACTTGCCTATTTGTGTACCAGTACCAGGCTGTTTTAGTAACTATAGCCTTGTAGTATAATTTGAAGTCGGGTAATATGATGCCTCCAGATTTGTTCTTTTTGCTTAGTATTCCTTTAGCTATGTGGGCTCTTTTTTAGTTCCCTATGAATTTTAGGATTTTTTTCTAGTTCTGTGAAGAATTATGATGATATTTTGATGGGAATTGTATTGAATTTGTAGATTGCTTTTGGCAGTATGGTCATTTTCATAGTATTGATTCTACCCATCCATGAGCATGGGATGTGTTTCCATTTGTTTGTGTCACCTGTGATTTCTTTGAGCAGCATTTTGTAGTTTTCCTTGTAGAGATCTTTAACCTCCTTGGTTAAGTATATTTTCATGTATTTTAGTTTTTTTTTTTTGTTTGTTTTGTTTTGTTTTGTTTTGTTTTTGCAGCTGTTGTAAAAGGGATTGAGTTCTTGATTTGATTCTCAGCTTGGTTGTTGTCAGCAGGGACATTTTCTAAAGTATAGACTGTAGTTCCTTATCTTCTATCTGTTTCTTACTGTCCCCTTCAGTATTCTTGTCCTTTTTTCCCGCTATTATCTTTTTGACCTTTTAATATATAGATATCTACTTCTACTTCTGACAATTTTTGCTTCTCCAATTTTCTTTCTTTTTCTCCTCTGCACACATTTATTTATTTTCTTCTATGTACTTCTTTATTTTTAACTTAATATTTGATTAACTTCCCTTCCCTGTCTCTTTTCCTTCTTTCCATAAATCTTCATTAATTGCCTGCACTGAGCTAGGATTCTATACTCTCTAAATCAATAATCTATTTTCTATAGTCAACTGTGTTATAATCGTACTGTCAAGATAACTACTTATTTTTAATACTTAAAAATATTTTGAAATTTTAACCAATTTAATTAATACAATGTTGAGTTCAAATTTGAAAAAAACAATGGAAAACTGTAATAATTCTAGCAACCTCCTGCTTTTTAATAATGTATTAGAAAATTTGCCTCTTTTTCAAAAGCCTACAGTGAATCTATTCATACAAGGCAAAAGCAAACCATTCTCTTCATTCTCTTTTTTTCTCCAAAAGATTTAAGTGTTTTTTGTTTGTTTGTTTTGTTTTGTTTTTTAGATATTGAGTCTTGCTCTGTCATCCAGGCTGCAGTGCAGTGGTGTGATCATAGCTCGCTATAGCCTCGAATTCCTGGGTTCAAGCAATCCTCCTCCCTCACCCTCCTGAGTAGCTGGGGCTACAGGTGCATGCTACCATGCCCAGCTAATTTAAAAGGAAAAAAATTGTGTAGAGATGGGTCTTGCTATGTTGCCCAGGCTGGTCTCAAACTTCCAATCTCAAGCATTTCTCCCACCCAGCATCCTGAAGTGCTGAGATTATAAGTGAGCCACTATGCCCAACCAGATTTAGTTTTTAAAAAGAGAATACGATTTGAAAAAGGAAAAATGTGAGGCAGGAGAGAAGAAATACACACACGAGCTGTTTTGTAATTGCTGTAAAACTGAAATCTTCAGCCTCACTAAAGGAGCACTTGCATGAACACCTCTAAATTACCTTATTACCTTCTAAATTAGGTGTGAAGTCTAACTTCTAAATTATGAGTGAAATCCACTGCAATTCTTGTTATTTGGATGGAATCCTAGGTATGTGGTCCAGTTCATGAGTTGAACAAAAGCATGCTCATTTAGGCCAGGTAGAAAGAAATAAAGACCTATGTTTTACATGTCTCATAACCACTGAAGGTCCTTCTCATAAGCAGTGCTTATGGGTATTAACGACCTCTCTATATTTTACTTCTCCAGTGCCTAAGTAGCCGAGTCCACTGAGTCCTGCTACATCTCCTCCAACATGTCAGCATTTTTTTCACAGGCCTTTTGTTACTCTAGATCAGAAATGTTGATAGCAACAGTTCCTTGAGGGCAGCAGCTAGCATGATGCCAGCCAACAGGAACCACCAAATGGTTCTTAATATAAATTACTACTTATTAATCTATTTACTTTGTGCATTTGGAGTTTTGCATGTAAAGTCCTATTTATGTCCATATGGTAGATAAATGGAACAAATGAATAACAGAAGTAACCATTTTGATACTTTAGATATAGATAATATTGGATTATTTCTGGATTGTGAAAGAAGAAGGAAGAAGCATATGGAAGAGAAGTTTTAGTAGAGGGGAGGAAGGAGGAGGTGGAAACGAATGTACAAGGATGGGAGGAGAAAAGGGAGAGAGACTTTTTTTTTTTTAAGGCGAGAGTTTACTACCTATCTAACTCTTCGCATTCTTGAAGTCTCAGACCAAATCCCATCGGTTTGAAAGCCTCTAGGGTATTCTATCTATTGTATACTTCTGTTATGTACAAAATTAATTTGCCAATTAATTGTGAACTGTTTTATAAACTATCTTAAAATGGTTAGTTAAATCTTTGGGATAGTATTTAGCTTTCTCCAGGATTATGACTTACCTTCTAAATTAGACATACAATGCCTAGGAGTCAAGGACTATTTTGCATAAATTCCAGTCTTCTTTTACAATGCCTAGAATGATTGTTACCACAGAAATATTCATTACCTGGGAGAAAGGATGACAGGAGGGGCAGAATGAATGGAGAGAGGTCGTGAGAATGAGGTGCTGAGGATGGACGAGGAAGAAAGCTGTTTTAGTTGGGAGGATAGGTGACAGAAGCATGGAAAGGAATTGCCTTGGACCCATGGAAGCCCAGTGAAGATACTTAGATCCTGCAGGGGTGTGAATAATGTTCTTTTAGTTTCTCTTCTTAGGAGGTTTGTTCATTTTGGGAGATTTCTTTTGAAAAGAGTGAACTTAAATTGGAGAAAAGTACATTTTAGTATGTTGATAACATTTGAATTTGTAAAATGGACCTATGGATGATCTACACATATTTATATACCCATAAATATACACATATTTTAATTTTTGGTATTTTATAATTATTATTTAATGATCATTCATGACATTTTAAAAATTACAGAAAAATTTACATCTAAAATTTCAGCAATGTTGTTTTTGACCAACTAAATAAATTGCATTTGAAATAATGGAGATGCAATGTTCAAAATTTCAACTGTGGTTAAAGCAATAGTGTGATATATGATTACATTAGAAGGAAGATGTGCCTTTCAAATTCAGATTGAGCATACTAAAAGTGACTCTCTAATTTTCTATTTTTGGTAATAGGACATCTCCAAGTTTGCAGAGAAAGACAATATAGTTCTTGGAGAAGGTGGAATCACACTGAGTGGAGGTCAACGAGCAAGAATTTCTTTAGCAAGGTGAATAACTAATTATTGGTCTAGCAAGCATTTGCTGTAAATGTCATTCATGTAAAAAAATTACAGACATTTCTCTATTGCTTTATATTCTGTTTCTGGAATTGAAAAAATCCTGGGGTTTTATGGCTAGTGGGTTAAGAATCACATTTAAGAACTATAAATAATGGTATAGTATCCAGATTTGGTAGAGATTATGGTTACTCAGAATCTGTGCCCGTATCTTGGTGTCAGTGTATTTGTTTGCCTCATAGTATAGTTTACTACAAATGGAAAACTCTAGGATTCTGCATAATACTGGACAGAGAAGATGTAAATATCTGTTAGTTCCATCATAGACCCTGCCACTCCAATGTACACACCAGCTTTAGGCTTCTTGGTATAGATAAACATACATTTTCAAAATTTTTCATCATAATTTTCATAACAAAATAGGAAGGCAAATGATGTCACTTGGCTTAAAATCTATAATATTTAAAATAAACAGGACAAATGCATTAACATTGTTGGGGGAGGAGGTCCCTTAGTAGAAACACTCTTGGTCCAAGCATTTTAAAGCTGTCAAAGAGATGTAAATATAGATAATGTATGTCAAGGAGAGAGCTTTGTGGTTAAACTGTAACTTTCAGTTTAAACAATTATTGGTGACTCTGATGTCAAATGTTTCTCAAGCTTTATCTGAACAAAATTCTTCTCACTTTGTTGCCAAAGTCGTTAACAAGAAATCACATTGACTCATTGATGTTTTGGCTCCTTTCCCTTACTTTCTGTTGCTTTCCAAAAGCTGAGACAGGAAACTAACCCTAACTGAGCACCTGCAATTGCCTGGTAGTATTCTAGTCATGTGTGTACTTTTGTGTGTATGTAATCCCCTTACAGCTCTGCAAAGTAAGAATTGTTCTCCCTGCTTTACAGAAGAGATCATAAGATAATTGAGGCTGTTAGATGTTAACTTGCCAAAAGCCATACAGGAAAATGGTAGAGTCACAGTTTGAACCAGGTCCTTTTGATTCTTTACATTAAACCATGCTTTGATCTTGGAAATACACTGTAAGGCAATAAATCAATAGATACGGATAATTCACAGGCTTCTAAATAAATGGAAGTTGATTGTTTTTATCTGTGAGCCAAAGTAAGACTTATTCTAAGAATTCCACAAATTTAGATAAGATAGAGTATATGGCTTCTAGACATCCAACATAGAACTGAGTTTGTGTTATCAGTTTAAGATTTGGTTTTGCTGTAAGGTGCACACACTTTGAGGAACTAAAAATAATTGTCTGTTCTTATTCTGATCAGAATGTGTAATGTGTTGTCCAGTTTTGGATGATGAATTTCTTATTTCTAATCTCATAAGAAACTTGTCATAGATGTGAGGGAGAGAATTAAGAACAGAGTGTGGGGAAGAAACTGTGTACATTTTGATGGGATCCATTATGTAGCTCTTGCATACTGTCTTCAAAAATAAGTTACACTATAAAGGTTGTTTTAGACTTTTAAAGTTTTGCCATTGGTTTTTAAAAAAATTTTTAAATTGGCTTTAAAAATTTCTTAATTGTGTGCTGAATACAATTTTCTTTATTACAGAAGTACCAACAATTACATGTATAAACAGAGAATCCTATGTACTTGAGATATAAGTAAGGTTACTATCAATCACACCTGAAAAATTTAAATGTTATGAAGAAATTATCTCATTTCTATTAATATGGGAACTGTGTCTTCATCTTTATTACTGTTCTAAGGTCAACTCAATGTAGATTTTACTTGCTTATGGTTTCATATTTTAGCTAAATAGTAAAATAATATGGATATACATTTTGTTGTGACTTACTCATACTTTCCTTATTTGGAACTTTTATGAATATGATATAGAGACTGAAACTACAAGGAACAAAATGCAATATCAATTATACAGTTGTGGCAGCACTGCTATCAATTTGTTGATAGTGGTTAACACTTAGAAAAACATTTTAAAAATAATTTCACATAAGTAATGTAATTTATTAGCTGTCTCTGACATTTTACAGTTTGGAATAGTTTATTTTCTTTTTGGTGTCCTCACCAAAACCCAACATCTTCAAGGGCAGGAACTGTATAATTTTTGCCATTGTATTTTGAGCACATAGCATGGTACTTGCCTCTAAATAGATACTATTGTTAAAATATTTTTTAAGGTAATATTTTAAAGTGTATGCTATGGTACAGTTCAGTTTGTGACTTTTGCTAGTTTATGCCACTTACAGTTAGCAAAATCACTTCAGCAGTTCTTGGAATGTTGTGAAAAGTGATAAAAATCTTCTGCAACTTATTCCTTTATTCCTCATTTAAAATAATCTACCATAGTAAAAACATGTATAAAAGTGCTACTTCTGCACCACTTTTGAGAATAGTGTTATTTCAGTGAATCGATGTGGTGACCATATTGTAATGCATGTAGTGAACTGTTTAAGGCAAATCATCTACACTAGATGACCAGGAAATAGAGAGGAAATGTAATTTAATTTCCATTTTCTTTTTAGAGCAGTATACAAAGATGCTGATTTGTATTTATTAGACTCTCCTTTTGGATACCTAGATGTTTTAACAGAAAAAGAAATATTTGAAAGGTATGTTCTTTGAATACCTTACTTATAATGCTCATGCTAAAATAAAAGAAAGACAGACTGTCCCATCATAGATTGCATTTTACCTCTTGAGAAATATGTTCACCATTGTTGGTATGGCAGAATGTAGCATGGTATTAACTCAAATCTGATCTGCCCTACTGGGCCAGGATTCAAGATTACTTCCATTAAAACCTTTTCTCACCGCCTCATGCTAAACCAGTTTCTCTCATTGCTATACTGTTATAGCAATTGCTATCTATGTAGTTTTTGCAGTATCATTGCCTTGTGATATATATTACTTTAATTATTATTATACTTAACATTTTTATTTACTTTTTGTGTTAGTATTTTATTCTGTCTTCTCCTTAGATAGTAACCTTCTTAAGAAAATATATATGCTAAGTGTTTTACTGGTTTAATATGCTTAGACTACTCATCTACCTCAATACTTCCTTGGAGATCTCCTCCTCAGTCACACAGAGCTCAGGACTTATATTTCCTTGGAACTCCTGTTAGGGTCCAATGTACATGAAATTCCCTAGACAGACAGACAGTCAGTTATATGGCTTGATTTCAAAGTTTCAAAATGATTTAATGGACTATCAAGTAGTTTATTAGGAGAACAGTTATTATACTCTTCTAAAAATAAAGACTTTAAGCAATAAAGATGTATATGTATATAAAATGGCTGGGTTATTCCTAGAAGTACCTTTCTTAGAATTTAGTTAAATTTAATATCCAAGATACTATCTTTTCAACCCTGAGATTGTGAAAAGTAACTTCTATCAATATAAACTTTACTACATTTGTATTGTGTTAGTGTGTTACAGTATAATCTAGAACAATGTGTCTTTCTATATGATATATGACATTTTAATGCCTAAAAAAACTGATATGTCTTAGATGATTCTAGTCAGGATTTACTTCTAGAATAGATTAAAATTCTATTTGAGGAGAGTCAAATTAATTATCGAATTCTCAGTTGTTATTATTGCTGTTTTATTTTTAGTGAAACAGATTAGTCTTAATGTAAACACTTGAGAAATAAATTGATGGTCAACCTAAAATGTAAAAAAGAAATTAATAGAAAATTTAAAGAGCAACAAAGCTCTGACATTTAAAAGAAATGAAGTACAAATCTCTAGGGACCTTAAAGATCATCTAATAATTTCCTCATTTTCTAGATAAATAAACTGAGAGACCCCGAGGATAAATGATTTGCTCAAAGTCAAATATCTACTTAATATAGGAAATTTAATTTCATTCTCAGTCTGTTAACATGCAACTTTTCAATATAGCATGTTATTTCATGCTATCAGAATTCACAAGGTACCAATTTAATTACTACAGAGTACTTATAGAATCATTTAAAATATAATAAAATTGTATGATAGAGATTATATGCAATAAAACATTAACAAAATGCTAAAATACGAGACATATTGCAATAAAGTATTTATAAAATTGATATTTATATGTTTTTATATCTTAAAGCTGTGTCTGTAAACTGATGGCTAACAAAACTAGGATTTTGGTCACTTCTAAAATGGAACATTTAAAGAAAGCTGACAAAATATTAATTTTGCATGAAGGTAGCAGCTATTTTTATGGGACATTTTCAGAACTCCAAAATCTACAGCCAGACTTTAGCTCAAAACTCATGGGATGTGATTCTT
Source organism: Homo sapiens (assembly GCF_000001405.40). Lineage (NCBI taxonomy): Eukaryota > Metazoa > Chordata > Mammalia > Primates > Hominidae > Homo > Homo sapiens. Next base: position 117,592,116 of record NC_000007.14, read on the forward strand.
TCGACCAATTTAGTGCAGAAAGAAGAAATTCAATCCTAACTGAGACCTTACACCGTTTCTCATTAGAAGGAGATGCTCCTGTCTCCTGGACAGAAACAAAAAAACAATCTTTTAAACAGACTGGAGAGTTTGGGGAAAAAAGGAAGAATTCTATTCTCAATCCAATCAACTCTATACGAAAATTTTCCATTGTGCAAAAGACTCCCTTACAAATGAATGGCATCGAAGAGGATTCTGATGAGCCTTTAGAGAGAAGGCTGTCCTTAGTACCAGATTCTGAGCAGGGAGAGGCGATACTGCCTCGCATCAGCGTGATCAGCACTGGCCCCACGCTTCAGGCACGAAGGAGGCAGTCTGTCCTGAACCTGATGACACACTCAGTTAACCAAGGTCAGAACATTCACCGAAAGACAACAGCATCCACACGAAAAGTGTCACTGGCCCCTCAGGCAAACTTGACTGAACTGGATATATATTCAAGAAGGTTATCTCAAGAAACTGGCTTGGAAATAAGTGAAGAAATTAACGAAGAAGACTTAAAGGTAGGTATACATCGCTTGGGGGTATTTCACCCCACAGAATGCAATTGAGTAGAATGCAATATGTAGCATGTAACAAAATTTACTAAAATCATAGGATTAGGATAAGGTGTATCTTAAAACTCAGAAAGTATGAAGTTCATTAATTATACAAGCAACGTTAAAATGTAAAATAACAAATGATTTCTTTTTGCAATGGACATATCTCTTCCCATAAAATGGGAAAGGATTTAGTTTTTGGTCCTCTACTAAGCCAGTGATAACTGTGACTATAAGTTAGAAAGCATTTGCTTTATTACCATCTTGAACCCTCTGTGGGAAGAGGTGCAGTATAAATAACTGTATAAATAAATAGTAGCTTTCATTATTTATAGCTCGCAAAATAATCTGTATGGAAGTAGCATATATAAGGTATATAAACATTTAGCCTCTTGATAGGACTAACTCACATTCTGGTTTGTATATCAGTCTTGCCTGAATTTAGCTAGTGTGGGCTTTTTTTTATCTTGTGAGTTTGCTTTATACATTGGGTTTCTGAAAAGATTTCTTTTAGAGAATGTATATAAGCTTAACATGTACTAGTGCCAATCTTCAGACAGAAATTTTGTTCTATTAGGTTTTAAGAATAAAAGCATTTTATTTTTAAAACAGGAAATAATATAAAAAGGAGAGTTTTTGTTGTTTTAGTAGAAAACTTAATGCCTTGGATGAAATGAGCCATGGGCAGGGTTGTAATGAATTGATATGTTTAATAGTATAGATCATTTGTGAATAATATGACCTTTGACAAGACACAAGCCATTAACATCTGTAGGCAGAAGTTTCCTTCTTTGTAAAATGAGGGAATAAAATAGATCCCTAAAGTGTGTAATTTTAGTATTTCTAAACTTTATGAAGGTTTCCTAAATGATAATTCATCTATATAGTGTTTTTTTGTGTGTTTGTTTGTTTGTTTGTTTGAGATGGAGTCTCGCTCTGTCACCTAGGCTGGAGTGCAATGGTGCAACCTCGGCTCACTGCAACCTCTGCCTCCTGGGTTCAAGCTAATCTCCTGCCTCAGCCTCCTGAGTAGCTGAGATTACAGGCATGCACCACCATGCCGAGCTAATTTTTGTATTTTTAGTAGAGAAGGGGTTTCATCATGTTGACCAGGCTGGTCTTGAACTCCTGACCTTGTGATCCACCCACCTCAGCCTCCCAAAGTGCTGGTATTACAGGCGTGTGCCACCACGTCCAGCCTGAGCCACTGCGCCCAGCCCATCTATATAGTTTAATATCAATCTAAATGAATTTCTCAGTCCTGAGCCTAAAAATTTAGTTGTAAAGAATGATATCCTTGACTAATAATAGTTTCTATTAATGGATTGCATCTAGTGCTAGGTGGCATATATTTAGTCCCCACAACTACCCTGGAAGGTATTTAAAATTTTTCACATTTGCAGATAAGGAAACTAAAGTTCAGAGTTCGGCAACATGCTTGAATTCAAGCAGCTCCTAGGATGTTAATGGTGGAGGTTGGGTTCAAATCCAGATCTGTCTGACTCAAAAAATGCATACTCCTAACCAGTGCACTATATCCCAATTCCATAGGAGCCCTTCTTTGTGATTCATAGCACTTTCCCATGAGTTTTGTTGATTTTGTGAGAAACAAAACTCTTTTTCCTTTGGACTGTCTGGAATCTCTCTTTTTCAAATTTTTGAAATGTATTTCTATGCCAAAAGACAAAGATTTCTAGAGGAATATGCCTAGGATGAGAATTATGTAATTTAAATCACAGCTGGAAAGAGAGAAAGTCCTAAGTTACTAAGAAATGTTCAAACACAAATGAGCTTTCAGTCTATTGGAAGACCTTTATAGCTAGAAGTATACTGAACTGTACTTGTCCATGGACCCCTGAAGAAACAGGTTAAATCAAAGAGAGTTCTGGGAAACTTCATTTAGATGGTATCATTCATTTGATAAAAGGTATGCCACTGTTAAGCCTTTAATGGTAAAATTGTCCAATAATAATACAGTTATATAATCAGTGATACATTTTTAGAATTTTGAAAAATTACGATGTTTCTCATTTTTAATAAAGCTGTGTTGCTCCAGTAGACATTATTCTGGCTATAGAATGACATCATACATGGCATTTATAATGATTTATATTTGTTAAAATACACTTAGATTCAAGTAATACTATTCTTTTATTTTCATATATTAAAAATAAAACCACAATGGTGGCATGAAACTGTACTGTCTTATTGTAATAGCCATAATTCTTTTATTCAGGAGTGCTTTTTTGATGATATGGAGAGCATACCAGCAGTGACTACATGGAACACATACCTTCGATATATTACTGTCCACAAGAGCTTAATTTTTGTGCTAATTTGGTGCTTAGTAATTTTTCTGGCAGAGGTAAGAATGTTCTATTGTAAAGTATTACTGGATTTAAAGTTAAATTAAGATAGTTTGGGGATGTATACATATATATGCACACACATAAATATGTATATATACACATGTATACATGTATAAGTATGCATATATACACACATATATCACTATATGTATATATGTATATATTACATATATTTGTGATTTTACAGTATATAATGGTATAGATTCATATAGTTCTTAGCTTCTGAAAAATCAACAAGTAGAACCACTACTGATATTTTATTATTTCATATTACATATAAAATATATTTAAATACAAATATAAGAAGAGTTTTTAATAGATTTTTAATAATAAAGGTTAAGAGATTCGAAAGCTCAAAGTAGAAGGCTTTTATTTGGATTGAAATTAAACAATTAGAATCACTGTTGATATTTTATTATTTCATATTACATATAAAATATATTTAAATATAAAGATAAGAGTTTTTAATAGATTTTATAATAAATGTTAAGAGATTAAAAAACTGAAAATAGAAGGCTTTTATTTGGATTGAAATTAAAGGCCAGGCATGGTGGTTCATGCCTGTAATCCCAGAATTTTAGGAGACTGAGTGGGGAGGATTGCTTGAGCCCAGGGGTCAAGACCAGCCTGGGCAACACAGTGAGACACCGTATCTACAAAATAATTAAAAAATTAGCTGGGCATGGTGGTGTGTGCCTGTATGCTACCATTAACTAAGGAGGCTGAGGTGGGAGAATCGCTTGAGCCTGGGAGGTCAAGGCTGCCCTGAACTGTGATTGTGCCATTGCATTCCAGCCTGGGTGCCAGAGAGAGACCCTATCTCTAAATAAATAAATAAGTAAATAAATAAACAGCAACAACAAAAACACTCAAAGCAAATCTGTACTAAATTTTGAATTCATTCTGAGAGGTGACAGCATGCTGGCAGTCCTGGCAGCCCTCGCTCACTCTCAGGGCCTCCTTGACCTTGACGCCCACTCTGGCTGTGCGTGAGGAGCCCTTCAGCCCTCCCCTGCACTGTGGGAGCCCCTTTCTGGGCTGGCCAAGGCCAGAGCCGGCTCCCTCAGCTTGCGGGGAGGTGTGGAGGGAGAGGCGCTGGGGGAACTGGGGCTGCGGGTGCCTTGTGGGCCAGCGCGAGTTCTGGGTGGGTGTGGGCTGGGCAGGCCCCGCACTCGGAGCAGCCGGCCGGCCCCGCGAGCCCCAGGCAGTGAGGGGCTTAGCACCTGGGCCAGCAGCTGCTGTACTCGATTTCTCACTGGGCCTTAGCTGCCTCCCTGCGGGGCAGGGCTCGGGACCTGCAGCCTGCCATGCCTGAGCCTCCCCCCAACCTGCCGCTGCAGTGGGCTCCTGCGTGGCCCAAGCCTCCTGACGAGCACCGCCCCCTGCTCCACGGCACCCAGTCCCATAGACCGCCCAAGGGCTGAGGAGTGTGGGTGCAGGGCGCAGGGCTGGCAGGCAGCTCCACCTGCAGCCCCAGTGCGGGATCCACTGGGTGAAGCCAGCTGGGCTTCTGAGTCTGGTGGGGACTTGGAGGATCTTTATGTCTAGCTAAGGGATTGTAAATACACCAATCAGCACTCTGTATCTAGCTCAAGGTTTGTAAACACACCAATCAGCACCCTGTGTCTAGCTCAGGGTTTGTGAATGCACCAATCAGCACTCTGTATCTAGTTAATCTGGTGGAGACTTGGAGAACCTTTATGTCTAGCTAAGGGATTGTAAATATACCAATGTGCACTCTGTATCTAGCTCAAGGTTTGTAAATACACCAATCAGCACTCTCTGTCTAGCTCAGGGTTTGTAAATACACCAATGGACACTTTGTATCTAGCTAATCTAGTGAGGAGGTGGAGAACTTTTGTGTCTAGCTCAGGGATTGTAAACGCACCAATCAGCACCCTGTCAAAACGGACCAATCAGCTCTCTGTAAAACCAATCTGCTGTCTGTAAAATGGACCAATCAGCAGGATGTGGGTGGGGCCAGATAAGAGAATAAAAGCAGGCTGCCTGAGCCAGAAGTGGCAACCTGCTGGGGTCTGTAGAAGCTTTGTTCTTTTGTTCTTTGCAATAAATTTTGCTACTGCTCACTTTTTGGGTCCGCATTGCGTTTATGAGCTGTGACACTCACTGGGAAGGTCTGCAGCTTCACTCCTGAAGCCAGCGAGATCACGAACCCACCAGAAGAAAGAAACTCCTAACACATCCGAACATCAGAAGGAACAAACTCAGGACACGCGGCCTTTAAGAACTATAACACTCACTGCAAGGGTCCTTGGCTTCATTCTCGAAGTCAGTGAGACCAAGAACCCACCAATTCCGGACACAATTTGACTGCAGAAAATGGATGTCCAACCCTGTGGTTTCCCTGGGCCACATTGGAAGAAGAAAGGAGTTGTCTTGGGCCACACATAAAATACACTTACTATAGCAGATGAGCTAAAGAAAAGAAAAAAGTCCATGCGTAATCTTTGTGATATGTGCCACCACCAATAAGCAAAATTGTTCTCTTATTCAAAAGGTTGGACACAGCTGCTCTAGATATTTTATTATTAAATATGCAGGCAATTACTGTTTAAATGAAGATTTCCTCACAGAATGAGATTAAAAGTATATATTAGTGGCTTAGCATTCATTTTAGACAACCATTTTAGAGATTCAAATCACACACTTGCTTACAGAAATTTTGTTGTCTTCAATGTCCCCATTGTGGTTTCTTTACCAAGCCTCTACTGTTCTTCACATCACCAAGTTAAAAAAAAAAAAGGGGCGGGGGGGCAGAATGAAAATTGCATGGTAGGCCACAAGTTCAGATCCTCATCGACACAAGAGGTGCCTGAAGCAGTGGATGAGGCTTTTCTATGGATCATGAGCAGCCACATAAATGCTTAAAAGGGCCTGGCAGGGAGCATCAGTGGGTGATGTGGCTGGGAGGCTGAATGGAGAGCATTTGTTCTTCAGTTATCTATAGAAGGCAGCTGTCACTCAGCACCAGCTAAGGGCTTCCCATGAGGGAACTGGGGATCAGGTTTCCCAGATCTTTTTATGTAACAGGATAAGACAGAGATCCAGCTTTTTTTGGGTAATTATTTCCTATTTTAAAATACGGGTAGTTGATTAAATAAAAACAAACGAATGAACACCATATGGGCACAACAAAACACATCTGTGGCTTGGATTCAGCTTGTGAATGATTACTGCAGATATTTATTCTAGAGGACACCCCTGGGTATGTCCTAATATAAAACCTAAATCTAAACTCAAGTCCCATGCTACCTTCAGAGAATAAATGACCCAGAAAAAGAACCACCTCTCCTAAGGAAGTATAAATTTGTAAATAACTGAGACCCAAACTTACAACTATACATTTTTCTTATTGTTGGGCTGTTGCTAACCTCAATTAAGAAGGCTTGATGATATTTGTAAAGTGTCATCACTCCACCATGGTCCAGTAACATCTGATCACTCCACCATGGTCCAGTAACATCTGAATGGTCAAGAAATATCTAAACGTATGTACCAAAAATTTGTGTATACTACTGTACCAATAAACCATTTGTTTCCATTTGATCTCTGAGTGTGGTAATACATGTTATTTGCCCTGCTGTTGTAAATAAACAAACCAAATGGAGGCTTGATGCAAGATGCAGTGTAGCATAGTGCCAACTCTGGACTCCGACTACTCAGGGTGTAAATTCTAACTCTGTTCTATTAACACCATGAAACTGAGCAAGTTAGTTAAAACTCGCTGGGCCCATTTTCTCATTTATACAATGGAGATTTTAATAGTACAGCTACATAGGCCATTTTGTGGTTTAAAATACATCATGATTATGAAACACTTAATGTAGGGCTTGCTACATAATGAGCAAGGTTTGTTGCTGTTATCATTAATATCCTTAATTCTCATTATTATAAAACTTGAGATAGTATGAGGTGAACAAGTTCATAACAGCAATATAATGAAAATTTTAATAATTCCTTTTATACTTTAACAAAAATACGAGATTGGGTAATTTATTATTTTTACATGAGTAATAAATATTGCATTAAAATATATTTAAAATTTACCACATTAATGTCTGCCAGTCATGCCAAATGACCAACATGAATGTGAATAAAACTCAGTCTGTGCCCATTTAATCTTAACCAACCCTTTATAATTGTTAATGATTTGAACCTCTGCCTTGAAAGATCACATTACTTGATTGTCTTCAACTTATCTGAATGTGGTAGTGATTTCTGTAAATTTATAGGACCTTTGTCTCATGCAGCTCCATGGAGTTGAACTTATGCACCTTTAAAATGGTATATACTTAATTAATTAAGTGTTGATCTGCTTCACATGTGTATAATATTATTAGCTCACTAAACCAAGAAAACAGTGGTCCTTTAGGGAAAGAAACTAAATTACAACAGAGAATATAAATACCATATAAATATCTATTATTTATTGAACTGTCACAATTATTGCAAAAAATTACCTTTTAGTGGACAAAACAATTGATATTGCCCTTTTCTGGAAAAGAAATAATGTAATATATGATGAATAGTTTTGGCCAGTATCCTCTAGACCTTGCCAGTTAACTGGCTCTCAAAATTTTGAATAATAAAAACTTGGTGATAGTAGAAAAATAGTAATTTTTTAAAAGTATGTGCACAATTATACAACTAAACAATTCATTCACCAGTGTTCACAATTCTATTGCCTTCTTTGAATCAAAATTTACATAGTTTTTCTTTTAGACTAAGCTCCTTTATGATACCAGTGTGCCCATTTCTCATTACCATTGAAATGTCTCATGAGCATGTCACATTCTGGTACAACTGCTAATCCAGGATGACAGTTTAGTTCTTTTAAATCCAATTGAGAGCCTTCTACTCATGACCAGAGAACCTAAAGAAAGGTTAAGATACATTTATTCCTTGGTGTAAGTGATTTGTCTATTTTTAGTTTTCCTAAGGGTCATATTTCAATTTAGATTTTTTTTTATAGGTTAGGTAAAATAGGCTTCCCTTTTGCAATATGAAATATGTAGTCTTTTAAAAAATTTCTTCAAAGCTATTAAACTGAAAAAAAATTAATTTGGTCTATTCAGTTTGTTAGCACTTACCATTTTGGAAAGAGAGTGACTCTACTTTTGTATTTGGTAACATTTTCCCTACTACAGGGCAGTATCTTTTGTAAGTTCTTAGATATTAGCACCAAATAAATAGGCAAAAAAAATCTATTATGTTAATTCTTAGAACCCCTGCTTGGCAGTGCATCATTGACTAGATGGAGAAGAAATGAAAATAATACATTAGGAAGCAGTTTCCTGGTTCTTTTGAAAACAACTAGAGAGTCTTGTTGTTGACTGGAATATCTGAAGATCCTGTTTAATGCTTTCATTCTATGATTGTTAAGAATATGTCATAGAACTGCTGTATCCTGTTTCTTTATGTCTTCCCTTCTGTTTGTTGATTAGAAATCCCTGAGTGGCTTTACATTATTAGTACAGTAGATATGTAGTATATTCCCATAATACCACTGCTGCTATTGACTAATAGTAATAATTTTAGGGCAGCTTTATGACAGTTGGTTTATGTTTTAGGGTGTCATTTGACTTGTGAAGCATTGAAATCTGGGTATTAAGCACACTGTTTTCTATGTGGTATGGAATGATTCTTAAAGCCCTGAGAAAATGGAAAATAAAAATATTTTTCCTTTTTACCATAATCACCTATGACTGTCACTCTATCATAAACTGCATAAACTTTATAACCTCAAAACATTTTGGAAATGAAATGACAGAACTTGCTTACTCAATTGCTTCTATATACACCAAATATTTTTTTAAAGTATTATGTTAAGTCCTTGAAAATATTTTGTTCTACTCAATAGAAGCAGTTTAGGTTGGTAGTTCTATGTGGAAACCGTGAGGAAATAATTTTATATTATGATGACTAGACCAGTCTTTGAACATCACTTTGGTTATTGTTCCATTAGTAAATATTATAATTATTTCTGAGATTTACTCACCTTCAAAGAATGTTGGCAATGCCAGCATTATTAACACTCCTCTAGTTAGAACAAAGAGGAAATGTAATAACAAAACATAATAATAGCCAAATAAAGAGTGACTTAGAATGTACACCCTTATCTAGGATCCTGAGTAATTCGATTATTCTTAGGAAATACACTTTTGTGCTAGAACAAAGACTTTTGAAATAGCTAATTTCTGGGTTTCTTTTCATTTTGAATTAACTTGAATTTCAAGGAAACAAGGGTAGTTTTTACAGATACAGTGCATAGAAGCTCTGTGTACAATGAAGAAAAGTAGGAAAGTGAGAAAAATGCCATTAGATTTTTCATCGTTATACTATCTGATATGTGAATTTAACTAAAACTTATATACCTCATTATAGTACTTCCTAATGTAATTTCTTAATTTAAGTGTTCCCCATAAGGTTTTTTTTTATATAAACTTAAGTACTGTTAAATATTTAAGGCAAATTCAGGTATAAAATAAGACTTGTTGATATCTTATTCCAAGCATATTTGTTTCTCTCCTATTTATTTTTATTCTGTGTTCATTTCCAAAATTGTTTTACTCACAACTGTTTGTTTTTTCTGTTTCATTCTGTGGTAAAGGTATCATTTGGCTAATTGTATAATTTCAGTGTCATTTCTAATATTCCAATTGTGATAGTATCAACACAAGATTAAATTTCTCTACATGGTTTATGAGAATGGAATGCCAAATTGAAATAGAACAGAGCACAGATGATCTAAATATAAAAAGAACTACAAAAATCACAGTTGTTTAAAAAGGTTTTTTGTTTGTTTATATATGGTGCAGAACATTTGTTCCTTAGCCAAATGTTTCCACCTTGAGAAAGCTATAGAGATTCTATGTAGTCCTAGTACCAATAATATGTTTTAACCTGAATGTACCTTATCTTTATTCATAAACTGTGACTTTTTACACTGCTGAAACTTTTTTTTTTAAGACAATCTCACTCTGTCGTCCAGTCTGGAGTGCAGCAGTGGTGTGATCTTGGCTCACTGCAACCTCTACCTTCTGTGTTCAAGCAATTCTGGTGCCTCGGCCACCTGAGTAGTTGGGATCACAGGTGTACACCACCAGGCCTGGCTAATAGTTTTTGATATTTCTAGTAGAGATGAGTTTTGCCACATTGGCCAGGCTGGCCTGAAACTCCTGGCCTCAAGTGATCTGCCTGCCTTGGCCTCCCAAAGTGTTGGTATTACAAGTGTGAGCCACTGTGCCTGGCCTGAAACTCATAATTCATTTCCATTAATATTAATCTCACCTTTTCCAATAATTAATTGATTTCACAAGTATTAGTCCCCTATAATCATTGAATGGCTAATAAAATTATTTATAGCAAACAGATTAATTATCTGCCAGCAGTCTGAGATTAGTTTCTTTAAAAAATGTTTATTATTTAAAACATTCAGCTGTGATCTTGGCTTTCTTGTGAGGTTCAATAGTTTCTATTGAGTAAAGGAGAGAAATGGCAGAGAATTTACTTCAGTGAAATTTGAATTCCATTAACTTAATGTGGTCTCATCACAAATAATAGTACTTAGAACACCTAGTACAGCTGCTGGACCCAGGAACACAAAGCAAAGGAAGATGAAATTGTGTGTACCTTGATATTGGTACACACATCAAATGGTGTGATGTGAATTTAGATGTGGGCATGGGAGGAATAGGTGAAGATGTTAGAAAAAAAATCAACTGTGTCTTGTTCCATTCCAGGTGGCTGCTTCTTTGGTTGTGCTGTGGCTCCTTGGAAAGTGAGTATTCCATGTCCTATTGTGTAGATTGTGTTTTATTTCTGTTGATTAAATATTGTAATCCACTATGTTTGTATGTATTGTAATCCACTTTGTTTCATTTCTCCCAAGCATTATGGTAGTGGAAAGATAAGGTTTTTTGTTTAAATGATGACCATTAGTTGGGTGAGGTGACACATTCCTGTAGTCCTAGCTCCTCCACAGGCTGACGCAGGAGGATCACTTGAGCCCAGGAGTTCAGGGCTGTAGTGTTGTATCATTGTGAGTAGCCACCGCACTCCAGCCTGGACAATATAGTGAGATCCTATATCTAAAATAAAATAAAATAAAATGAATAAATTGTGAGCATGTGCAGCTCCTGCAGTTTCTAAAGAATATAGTTCTGTTCAGTTTCTGTGAAACACAATAAAAATATTTGAAATAACATTACATATTTAGGGTTTTCTTCAAATTTTTTAATTTAATAAAGAACAACTCAATCTCTATCAATAGTGAGAAAACATATCTATTTTCTTGCAATAATAGTATGATTTTGAGGTTAAGGGTGCATGCTCTTCTAATGCAAAATATTGTATTTATTTAGACTCAAGTTTAGTTCCATTTACATGTATTGGAAATTCAGTAAGTAACTTTGGCTGCCAAATAACGATTTCCTATTTGCTTTACAGCACTCCTCTTCAAGACAAAGGGAATAGTACTCATAGTAGAAATAACAGCTATGCAGTGATTATCACCAGCACCAGTTCGTATTATGTGTTTTACATTTACGTGGGAGTAGCCGACACTTTGCTTGCTATGGGATTCTTCAGAGGTCTACCACTGGTGCATACTCTAATCACAGTGTCGAAAATTTTACACCACAAAATGTTACATTCTGTTCTTCAAGCACCTATGTCAACCCTCAACACGTTGAAAGCAGGTACTTTACTAGGTCTAAGAAATGAAACTGCTGATCCACCATCAATAGGGCCTGTGGTTTTGTTGGTTTTCTAATGGCAGTGCTGGCTTTTGCACAGAGGCATGTGCCCTTTGTTGAACCTCCATTTGACTGGCATGCACATGTCTCAGATATTATAGGTTATCATATATTGTTGCTCCTAATATTTCTGTGTTAGATAATTAGAGTAGCTTGGTTTGTAAGAATGTGATGTTGGTGGGACTGTAGCAGAACAAGAAGGCCCTTATGGGTCAGTCATACCTCTCTTTTCAAATATTTGGTCTAGCTCTCTTCTGGGCATCTTGTTGCCAATATATAGTATTGCTCAAAAGGGCAGGAGATTTGAAGTGATCAAGGAAAATATATTTTTTCTATTGATTAAGTCTTTTGATGGGGTAGAATAATCTAATTTCATGTAACTGCTCAAAGTTATATGGTAGGGGGATCCCAAATGTATTTTAAAACTATTTTTATATCATCATATTTGAAGTAATAGAAAGTCAGAGTAGCAGAATAAAGGTACTAAAAATTTTAAAAACTAATAAGGTACTTTGAAAGAAATCAATTATGTTGATTCCTCATTAAACAAATTTGCACTTAAAGACTGAGGTTAATAAGGATTTCCCCAAGTTTTTTCATAGCAACCTGTGAGCACTTTCTCTGTTGAGGCATTTATGGTATGAAAAGATGAGTAAGGCACAGTTCTTGCCCTGGAGAAGGTCACAGGTGAGAGGAGGAGTTGACACAGAAACATTTGATATAAAGCAAGGAATAAATTCCAAGACTAAAATTTTCAGAAATCTAAAAAACTCAAGATAAGAAAAACCCATTATATTTTCTGGGTAACAAAATTTCAGTGTTATTAACATGTAGGAAGATCTTGATATTTATTCTGAAGCCCATGTGTGTTGCTGAAATATTGCCGCATTTGCATATACTCATCACCATCCTCTGTTTTGGAGCTAAGAATTTTAGACTCAAGATGTCTAATTAAGTTGATCCATTGATTTTATTTTTTATGGAAATCTGAGACCCACAGAAGGCAGGGGATTTGCCCACATTTCTAGAAGAGTCAGACATGAGCGATGAGGCACAGTGGAAAGAACATGAGCATTGCCTGAGCTCTGAGTTGGCGCTATAAGAGCAGTGATCATGGGCAAGTGACTCTTCTGAGCCTTGGCCTCCTCACCTGTTAAGTGAAGAAAAGAATATTTCAGAAGATCTTTGTGAGAATGAAACAAGGCAATTTACTTGCCTGCTACATAGCCAATGGGAAATCAATATAAGTTCCCCGTGGTTCCCTTCTGTGGGGTTTTGTTCCCACAGAGGGTGCACTGGCCATTCCACTTCTTCTTTTCCAAGCTCCTCATTCCCTTTAACGCTGTTCATAGTTGGTTCCAAACCATTTGAAATATAATAAGCACCAGGATGGTTTTTTCTTTCCACCAAAGCAAATTTCATTTTCTAAACACTGTTTATAAATATCAATGGCTATTTTTTCAATTTTTGATTATCATGAAAATATACAAATATGTTTAATTAAATATGCTAAAGAATGTATTAATAAATATGTATTAAATAATTCCTACATATAAGGCCTTTTTGCTTGGGGTATGGGTGATACAAAATAAATGTGGCATGAACCCACTGACCTCTAGCAATTTATAACCTAGAAAAAGAGTTATGATATGTTTATAAGTTCCTGTGATATAAGACATGCATATAGTCATTATAACAGAGGTGCAAACAAGATGTATCAAGTATGTCCAGAGGAGGAAGAGATTAATCCCAGCTGGAGGAAACACTGATGCTTTCTTGCAGCAGGGGCATTTGAGTTGAGAAAGGGAGGAAACATAGATTTTGACAATGAGAGCTGAGGGGAAAGGGGTTTCAGGTGGAGGGAACCGCATGTGGAAAGCAGGGAGGTAGGAAAGTGTAGAGTGTGTTTAAAGAATAGACCAGTTTGGCTGAAACAGGATATTTGAGCAGAGGAAGCTTGTACTAGGTAGGTGGGTTGAGGCCAAATTATGCAAGGCATTAAATATTAAACTAGGAATTTTGGACTTTATCCTGCAGTTTATGGGGGGTAAATGATAAGATTCAATATCACTTTATTTGTACAGTATTATGTTACATTTTATCTAATTGTTTGTTTAATTCCTGTCTAGACAATGAATTCCTCAAGGGCAAGGAGCATGGCTTATTCACCTCAGTAATTTCAGTGCCTAGCATTGTGCCTGGTACAAAGTGGACACTTGTATATAACCTTTTTTAATTGAAGCAACAAGTTGTCAACCTTACAAATGTGAATCCGTGATTCAGATGACAGGTTGAAATGTAGATTGTCTGCGAAGAGGGCAGAAAGAGAGTATGACAAAGGAGGACAAGACAGTGGGGCAGGCAGGGAGAGAGAGCAGCCAGGGTTTCGGTAGAGGTATGTCAAAAAGGTATGGAAGTCAGAGGAGAAGGAGACCCCTATGTTATAGAATACAAATGGAAGGGAAATGATGACAACAGTAAGTTGTCATTAAATGCAAGGTTGCAAAAGTAAGATTGTAAAGCAGGATGAGTACCCACCTATTCCTGACATAATTTATAGTAAAAGCTATTTCAGAGAAATTGGTCGTTACTTGAATCTTACAAGAATCTGAAACTTTTAAAAAGGTTTAAAAGTAAAAGACAATAACTTGAACACATAATTATTTAGAATGTTTGGAAAGAAACAAAAATTTCTAAGTCTATCTGATTCTATTTGCTAATTCTTATTTGGGTTCTGAATGCGTCTACTGTGATCCAAACTTAGTATTGAATATATTGATATATCTTTAAAAAATTAGTGTTTTTTGAGGAATTTGTCATCTTGTATATTATAGGTGGGATTCTTAATAGATTCTCCAAAGATATAGCAATTTTGGATGACCTTCTGCCTCTTACCATATTTGACTTCATCCAGGTATGTAAAAATAAGTACCGTTAAGTATGTCTGTATTATTAAAAAAACAATAACAAAAGCAAATGTGATTTTGTTTTCATTTTTTATTTGATTGAGGGTTGAAGTCCTGTCTATTGCATTAATTTTGTAATTATCCAAAGCCTTCAAAATAGACATAAGTTTAGTAAATTCAATAATAAGTCAGAACTGCTTACCTGGCCCAAACCTGAGGCAATCCCACATTTAGATGTAATAGCTGTCTACTTGGGAGTGATTTGAGAGGCACAAAGGACCATCTTTCCCAAAATCACTGGCCACAAAGTGTGACATTTTGGCATTGGCATCACTATTTGATGGAAGCCAACCTCCCCCCAAAAGGCCTGTATTAGAATGAAGATGGATTCCCTGGGTGGGTTACACTTGAAACTAGCCTCACCCATGAACACTTTGGCACAGATTAGCTAGCCCATTCCCCCACAGTAAGGACCATAAGGAAGGGACAGAAGCAAAGATAAGTTTTAGAACAAAAGAGAGGGGAAAGAAAAAATCTAGGGTTTTATGAGGGCTGTCCCTGAGTGATAGATGTGAATAGGCCTCCAGGGCAGGCTGGCTCAGAGGCTGACTCTTTGGGTTGGGGTGACTGATTGGTGGTGAGGATGGAGAAGAAAAGGGGAGTGGAGGAGGTGAAAGTGACCTTGGGACATTAGGTCTCCATAAGTGACAGGATTTAAGGAGTGTTGTAAGCTGTGGTTGTTGGACCAGGTTTAAGCACAGCTTCCTGAGCTTCCTGACTGGTTTAGGTCAAGCTCCAGAGAGCAAATGCCACAGTCTCAGTGATCTCCTTGGAGAAACAGTTGGAATAGGATGTTGCCCATGTTGGGATGAGTCATTGTCCGCTCTTGCTCTTTCCCTACCCCTGCAAAATAATAATACTGTATTTGATTGAACATATAAAACAAAAGAAGGATTATCACATAAGTATGTATATATAACCAACATTGGCAGGTGCAGAAAAACCAGACTGTCAGTTTGCCTCATCTGAAATGATTGACACAAACAAATATATTTACTGTCCCAAGTGAACTTTGGCATTTTGGATATCCTTCAGTTGTTCTGTTTAAAGATATAACTTAGAAGCAGCTGATGGAATATTTAAATCCATGCGTTGAATTCATGCATTCAAAGAAACATGTCCTGAGTCACTAAATGCTGACATTTGTTTTTCATGTTAAGAGTGTAAATAACTGGTCCCAAATATAATATTATTACATCAGATAAAAACTGGAATGTGAACCTCTTAACTTGATTGTGAAAGTATTTGCCAATGGTGCCTCTTGATAATTATTTGAGGCTCACTTCAGAACTCCTCTGGAAGGGTTAATTTTTAAATAGTCATTTTATAAATTAACATTTTTGACATATGTGATGGCTCTCAAATTTTTTCTTTTATGCCAGTTTGAATCATTTCTGCTCAATTTTTTTTTTTAATTGGGATGGAGTCTCACTCTGTTGCCCAGGCTGGAGTGCAGTGATGCAATCTTGGCTGACTGCAACCTCCACCTCCTCGGTTCAAGCGATTCTCTCGCATCAGCCTCCAGAGTAGCTGGGATTACAGGCGCGCACCACCATGCCTGGATAATTTTTGTATTATTACTAGAGATGGGGTTTCACCACGTTGGCCAGGCTGGTCTTGAACTCCTGAACTCCTGACCTCAAGTGATCCACCTGCCTCAGCCTCTTAAAGAGCTGGAATTATAGGTGTGAGCCACTGCACCAGGCCCTGTTCAACTTTTAATGCTAAGATTCATTTGTTGTTGTTTCACAAGTGATTAGGCAGAGGTCTTTTATATTAATTTACCCATTTTATTTGTAAGAGAGTCTCATATTAAGGAAGCATAATATATGACAATCCAAATACAGTACAAATTTGGTTAATTTTGATTTTGTTAAATAATTAATCACAGGGGTCCTTCAAATTGTGAGCTCCTCTGGTTATACTTATGTTTTACCTCTGGTTATACTTAATTTCAAACAAATGAAATTTCATTCTATTCATGATATTTCAGAAGCAGATCTGTTGCACAAAATAAAGCATACCTATAAATTTTCTTTTTTTAAAAAAAAGTCTCTGTTCACTCTATTTTCTATTATTTTTCTCTTTTTAAAATTTGAATTTTATTGTGGCAAGTCCACTTAACATGAGATTTACCCTCTTAACAGATTTTTATGTGTAAAATACAATATTGTTCACCATGGGTAAATGTTGCACAGCAGATCTCTGGAACTTATTCATTTTGCACTACTGAAATTTTATACCTGTTGATTAGTATCTCCCCATTTCCCTCTCTCCCCTGTCCTGTTACCCATGGTTCTGTTCTTTGCTTCTTTGAGTTTGAGTATTTTGATACCTCATGTAATCTTCATTCTATTTTCTAACTTTGACAATGTTCTGACAAATTTGCTTTCCGGATTGGAGCACTGTATAGTGAAAATTGAAAATCTTGGTTATTTTCTACAGATTCCCACTATTTTACCTTGAGCAGACACTTATCTTGAAGGGTCTCAGATTTGTCACTTGTAGAATGGGGAATATAAACCTGATAATGGTCCCTTTCAGTTCTAAAGTTATATCAGTTGAAAATACATGTGTCACTTATGGTAACGGGTAGAGAACTGGCTCACTGAACAGCATATGGATATTATAAAGTGGTTTTTTTTAATCCTTTCTGCAGACAGTTACTTTATACTTTATTCAAATGGATTATTGTGAAGTACATGTTAGCGGACTTTGTACCTTTTAAAAATGTATGTATTTGGTGTAATGTAGAAATATAGAAATTTATTAAGTATGATTTATTTCAATGTTAAGCATGAGAAAATATGCTCCGAAAGGTTAGATAGCTTGCCTAAATGACAAGCTTGTATTTCAAGCAGAACTTTCTGAATCAAAAGACTCCAAGACGAATGCCCAGCTTTCAAAAACTGTCTAACCAAAATAAATCCTAAGATTCACCTTCATACTAAAATTATTTAAAAATAGTTTATTTTAAATTAATATTCACTTAAAATGTATTTATCATGCAATACTTTAAAGTGTCTGGGAAATGAAAATATCCAAAGATCAAAGAACACCATGTTTTCAAACTTCAAAAATGTTATCAGTGACCTAAACAATTTTTAAAATTTTCATAGAGCCTATGAAAAATGTACTTGCAAATGGCTACTTTCTGACTAGGAATAGAATGGGGAGAGTATTTAGTCCAACAATGATAGACTGGATTAAGAAAATGTGGCACATATACACCATGGAACACTATGCAGCCATAAAAAATGATGAGTTCATGTCCTTTGTAGGGACATGGATGAAATTGGAAAACATCATTCTCAGTAAACTATCGCAAGAACAAAAAACCAAACACCGCATATTCTCACTCATAGGTGGGAATTGAACAATGAGATCACATGGACACAGGAAGGGGAATATCACACTCTGGGGACTGTTGTGGGGTGGGGGGAGGGGGGAGGGATAGCACTGGGAGATATACCTAATGCTAGATGACGAGTTAGTGGGTGCAGTGCACCAGCATGGCACATGTATACATATGTAACTAACCTGCACAATGTGCACATGTACCCTAAAACTTAAAGTATAATAAAAAAAATAAAAAAAAGTTTGAGGTGTTTAAAGTATGCAAAAAAAAAAAAAGAAATAAATCACTGACACACTTTGTCCACTTTGCAATGTGAAAATGTTTACTCACCAACATGTTTTCTTTGATCTTACAGTTGTTATTAATTGTGATTGGAGCTATAGCAGTTGTCGCAGTTTTACAACCCTACATCTTTGTTGCAACAGTGCCAGTGATAGTGGCTTTTATTATGTTGAGAGCATATTTCCTCCAAACCTCACAGCAACTCAAACAACTGGAATCTGAAGGTATGACAGTGAATGTGCGATACTCATCTTGTAAAAAAGCTATAAGAGCTATTTGAGATTCTTTATTGTTAATCTACTTAAAAAAAATTCTGCTTTTAAACTTTTACATCATATAACAATAATTTTTTTCTACATGCATGTGTATATAAAAGGAAACTATATTACAAAGTACACATGGATTTTTTTTCTTAATTAATGACCATGTGACTTCATTTTGGTTTTAAAATAGGTATATAGAATCTTACCACAGTTGGTGTACAGGACATTCATTTATAATAAACTTATATCAGTCAAATTAAACAAGGATAGTGCTGCTATTACTAAAGGTTTCTCTGGGTTCCCAAATGATACTTGACCAAATTTGTCCCTTTGGCTTGTTGTCTTCAGACACCCTTTCTTCATGTGTTGGAGCTGCCATTTCGTGTGCCCCCAAACTCTACTTGAGCTGTTAGGGAATCACATTTTGCAGTGACAGCCTTAGTGTGGGTGCATTTTCAGGCAATACTTTTTCAGTATATTTCTGCTTTGTAGATTATTAGCTAAATCAAGTCACATAAACTTCCTTAATTTAGATACTTGAAAAAATTGTCTTAAAAGAAAATTTTTTTAGTAAGAATTAATTTAGAATTAGCCAGAAAACTCCCAGTGGTAGCCAAGAAAGAGGAATAAATATTGGTGGTAATTTTTTAAGTTCCCATCTCTGGTAGCCAAGTAAAAAAAGAGGGTAACTCATTAATAAAATAACAAATCATATCTATTCAAAGAATGGCACCAGTGTGAAAAAAAGCTTTTTAACCAATGACATTTGTGATATGATTATTCTAATTTAGTCTTTTTCAGGTACAAGATATTATGAAATTACATTTTGTGTTTATGTTATTTGCAATGTTTTCTATGGAAATATTTCACAGGCAGGAGTCCAATTTTCACTCATCTTGTTACAAGCTTAAAAGGACTATGGACACTTCGTGCCTTCGGACGGCAGCCTTACTTTGAAACTCTGTTCCACAAAGCTCTGAATTTACATACTGCCAACTGGTTCTTGTACCTGTCAACACTGCGCTGGTTCCAAATGAGAATAGAAATGATTTTTGTCATCTTCTTCATTGCTGTTACCTTCATTTCCATTTTAACAACAGGTACTATGAACTCATTAACTTTAGCTAAGCATTTAAGTAAAAAATTTTCAATGAATAAAATGCTGCATTCTATAGGTTATCAATTTTTGATATCTTTAGAGTTTAGTAATTAACAAATTTGTTGGTTTATTATTGAACAAGTGATTTCTTTGAATTTCCATTGTTTTATTGTTAAACAAATAATTTCCTTGAAATCGGATATATATATATATATGTATATATATATATATATATATATATATATACATATATATATATAGTATTATCCCTGTTTTCACAGTTTTAAAAACCGATGCACACAGATTGTCAGATAGCAATTCTGTGATTGAAGGGGAAATATGTCACCTCTTCATACTCATATTGGTGAAGGGTCCTAGCTTCAAAATTAATAGATTCCTAAAGAGGGGAAATGAAACATCCGCATTTACACACACACACACACACACACACACAGAGTTCCTCTTGTCGGTAAGTTTTGTTTTTTTTAAATCTCTACTAGATAAAATTTGTTATCTAATTGTGAGTTTTACACAAAGAAAAACTGTCACAGAAAAGAAAGACAGTGTCACATTTTTCAAAAGAAAAAGAAGAAAAGAAAGTGCCATGTTTTTCAAATACAAATGTTCTGGATTGATTTTAGGATCTTTAGTGAAAAACAAAGTATTTCATAATAAGTAAAATAAAAATCTATGTAGGTAAATTTGTTTCTCTAATTTAAGAATTTGAATTTCTGAGTATTTATGATAAGTGTTGAAATAACTTCTTATATGTGACAGTGAATACTGGCAGAGCAAATGCCAAATCAATGCCAAATCTGTAGGATCATTTGATTGTAGGAACAGAATTCTACTCAAACCGAAAGCAGGCATTTGCTGGAGTTACAGAAAGGCCTCATGGAACACCGAGAAGGTGGTGCCATTCGACTCTTAAAGAAGCTGCAACAGGCACAAGAGAGTCAGCTGCAGCTCTTCTTCTTGAGTCTATATCTGTCCTGGGTCCATTCCTTTTTGTGGTTGCTTCATTCCTTTCTCTCTCTGAAGACTGGTTTTTCTGGTCTACCAGGGCTATGCCACATTGACTTTATGTAGTGTCTCCATTCTGGCCTCCTGAATTTACAGGAGAGTTCCTCTGTACAAACTCAAAGTCCTGGAGAGAACAGAAAACAGCTTCCTTTTGGCTCAGGGGTCCAACTGCAGTCTACTCTGCTGCTATGAGGATAGTGGGTTCACCACCTTTGTTGTTCTCTCAGCTAGGGCAGTGGGAAATGACTCTATGAAAGGAATATACATGGGCAGGCAAATGTACTAATCCTCATCAGTACTGTAATTTTAAGCAACTTTAAAAAATTCTTTTAAGTTATTTGAAAATAAGATCAAAGAAGGCTGAATTACATAAATGAAGATTTGTTAACAATTAATTCAAACCAATATAACACATGCTATAACATGGTTGAGTGTGATTGAGTCTTGATTTATTAGGGGCAATAATCAAAACATTTAACAATCATTATAGTACAGAACTTACCAATCAAATCAGATGCTCAGCCGGAGTGGATGTTGGCCACCCAGCTATTATTATCCCTGGCTCAATTGGTCTTCAGCTGTGTTAACTTGCAAACATTAATTAACTATCTAAGCCCCTCATTTTCCTCAAGTGTAAATAGACACAATAATATTACCTATTCCATAGGTGTGGGGTGAATAGTAAATGTAATAATTTGTCCAAAACACTTAGTATAGTGCCTGGTCCATGGTAAATACTAAATAAATGTTATCTGACTTATTATTAAAATTTTATCTTCTCAGCTTAACCTTCAGAACAGTAATATATTGGGGTCTAGATAAATCTTGCCTATATGAAAATAATTTAATACTACATGCAGATATATGCTGTGTATATTATGCCTTCTGTTAGAGGAATTGCAGAAACAAAAATTTCAATTAATAATAAGATGAATTATTTCTCCCAATTGTAGAATCTTTTGACAATTTTATCATGCATTACAGATGTAAGAACTCTTGATTGGGACTTGATAGTCTAACTTTATAATAATTTAAGAACATTCCTCTTAGAGAATTTCTATGGCCATAATACTGAACACATGAATTTTAATTAGCTGTCCTCTTTAGCCCTAAAAAAAAAATTACTGTAATTTAACACTTAAGTGTTGTTCTTCCCAGGTACAGTAATCTTTTTTTTTTTTTTTTTTTTTTTTTGCATAGAGGGTAATCTTTTCTCTTTCCAAATGGCAGAACTGTTAGTTTTCTGACTGTCCGGTGAAATTCTAAGTCCACTTACTTCCCAATAGCATGCAATTAGCAAAGGTCCTCCTTGCAAAGGCACAGAACACACCTAAACATCTTGCAGATGCTGTTTGGACACTCTTCCCCTGCTTTTGGTCTCTTTGTAAAGCAGCTCATCTGGATACAGGATCTCTTTTCCCCATTGCCCATTCTAATATATGTTACCGTTATTACTTATAGAATAATAGTAGAAGAGACAAATATGGTACCTACCCATTACCAACAACACCTCCAATACCAGTAACATTTTTTAAAAAGGGCAACACTTTCCTAATATTCAATCGCTCTTTGATTTAAAATCCTGGTTGAATACTTACTATATGCAGAGCATTATTCTATTAGTAGATGCTGTGATGAACTGAGATTTAAAAATTGTTAAAATTAGCATAAAATTGAAATGTAAATTTAATGTGATATGTGCCCTAGGAGAAGTGTGAATAAAGTCGTTCACAGAAGAGAGAAATAACATGAGGTTCATTTACGTCTTTTGTGCATCTATAGGAGAAGGAGAAGGAAGAGTTGGTATTATCCTGACTTTAGCCATGAATATCATGAGTACATTGCAGTGGGCTGTAAACTCCAGCATAGATGTGGATAGCTTGGTAAGTCTTATCATCTTTTTAACTTTTATGAAAAAAATTCAGACAAGTAACAAAGTATGAGTAATAGCATGAGGAAGAACTATATACCGTATATTGAGCTTAAGAAATAAAACATTACAGATAAATTGAGGGTCACTGTGTATCTGTCATTAAATCCTTATCTCTTCTTTCCTTCTCATAGATAGCCACTATGAAGATCTAATACTGCAGTGAGCATTCTTTCACCTGTTTCCTTATTCAGGATTTTCTAGGAGAAATACCTAGGGGTTGTATTGCTGGGTCATAGGATTCACCCATGCTTAACTGAGTGGTGCCAAATTGTCCTCAAGTCTGTTGTACTGATATATATCCCCATCAAGAGAGTACAAGAATTCTCATAGCTATGTATCTTCAACAACACTTGGTGTCTGGTAGATGTGAAGTGATTACTAAAAATATAGGGAAGCTGCATACATAATTATTGGCTTTTGCTGTTCTCTTACATTAATTTCTTATTCATGTTGATTACTCATTTGTCACCTAGTTTTTTCTTCCTTAATTAAATTGTAGGAATTTATGAATTATGGATTGATCATCAGCTCTATACATTTCAAACATAATCCCTCAGTCAGTGGCTTGGCTTATAGAGTCTTTTGATGAAAAGAAGCTTTTAAGTTTAATAAAGTTCAATTTATTGTCTTTTCCTTTATGTTTTGTGCTTTTGGTATCTTGATTAAGAACTCCTTCCTTATATTGGGTTCTCAAATTTAGCAGCATAACATTTTCATACTATTATTTAAATTTTTTTCACATTATTTAGTGATAGCACCTTTCTTATTCCTAAAGTGTTTATCATTGCCTTCTGTCTTTCTGCTTGATAAATATTGCCACACATTTGTATACTTTATTAGTGTGTACAAAGACCACATTTTAGTTGTGTTATTTCTCTTGTTTTGGTTTTCTAGAATGCAGAGCCATTAATATTATAGTAATGCTTATGTGCTAATACCATATCAGGGGCACAAATCCCATTGCAGCGGGACTGAGAAATTAAAGGAAATGATGCACATTTACTCATTTTTGTTTAAAAAATCAAATGCATATTTTTCAATCAGACTATATGGTTGGTCTGGATAGCTTCATCATTGAATTTTTAAAGTATTTTTGTACTACTGTATTTAAAATTATTCATTCACCACTGCTTTTGTAGATGGTTTAGAAACCCAAGTTAGGAATGACTGTGCAACACTATTATTATACTCTTTTTAAAATTATACTTTTTGCTTAAGTTTCTTTCCTTGTTCTCTGAGACAGTGTTCATGTTCCCAAACCACACACATTTATTCAGCTATAAAATTTGTATGATCAACTCCTGTCAGAACAAACATCATTATAAAAAATATCTCCAGGAAAAAGAAAACCCTTTTAATGCTCTCTTCTGGTTCATGTGTCTTCTTATTTTCTTTAAGCATTTTCATAACCCATTGAGCTGTAATTTAATTGGAACATGATTTATACTAAAGTTGGTTTCTTTACCTTTAACTTTTTTTTTTAGTTTGATCAGCTCTCTTTAGCTTCTGTAGTTCGGTCTTTAATTCCATTCCAGTATGCTTTTGGAGTTGGGTCTCATAAATGTATAGAAATGTTTCTGTTGGGAAACAGCAGGAGAATATTAAATAAATATTGTGCTTACATCTATTTAATTCTTTGCCCAACTTTCTACAACTTTGACTTTACATTTAAGCTCCTCATGCACTTACATGTTTCTTTACCTAAAAATATCTTTTCACCATGGGTGTGTACAATTCCTTTGTCCTTGCTGTATTAATTTTCTTGGTTTACATAGTAGCCTCTACACATTGATGTCAAAACCTCTGTTTGGTGCATTTCTACTCTGCGTGTTCAATCTCCATGAAAGTTTCTGTAAGGTATTTTCATTCCTCTAGTTTTTCACATGTGCATCCTGGCTTTGTGACCTGTGCTTTGATATCGTGCCTTTCATCTTGTGGCATTGAAGGATCTTTGCAAGGACCTATTGTGTTATAATACAGTCTATGAAAAATATCAATATTTGCATTTGATCACATTTAAAAAAATCACATTCTTTTGTTTGAATATCAAAGCTAATATGTGAGTGATTTCCCTGCCAAATAGCACAAGTAGCCTTTCCTGGGTGTTTATGGGCATTTATCTGGTTAATGATTCCCATCATAGTGCTGTCACCCATGCCATTGCTAAACTTATACAGTAACTTTTTTGTTTTCACCTCAGCATATGTTGAGAGTAGGAAATAGATAGGACTATGCCCTCAAATTTTACGTTTATATGATGTTAATCCTAAAGGTCCTTGTGACTTCTGAAGTAAAAACTCAGTGTTGTCATTTTACTTACTGAATTGTTAGCTGAGTTTAGAGTTGAGTTTACAATGGAGTAAACAAGGTGTTTAGTTTGATGTATGCTTTTAGTCTTTCAGAAAAAAATGTTTATACTTGGAAAGAATAGTTTATTTACCCATCTGGCCTAGTTTAGACAAAAACACAGAGTCAAATGTCAACAGAATTCTGAAGTTATAAAAATGACAGTGTGGCTTTTTTTTTTTTTAACCTTCCACCTGGTGCTTATGCCCAAGTGCCTAGCTTTCTTTAGCTCTCAACTAATAAAGGTAATGTTTAGATAACATTTAACGTTAAGTTGCATTGTGTTTATGATCACATATCTCAAATATTGGTACACGAAACTGTACAACAACCTTTTTTATTAGATTTTCCTACGAAATTCCTTATTATATTCCCTAAGATAGCTTTTTCCCACCTTCTTCTTCCTTCTCCCTTCTCAGGTGCTCCAATAATTCCAACCCCTGCAGCCAGTGACTTTATTATATCTTTTTTTAAAAATCTAAAAAAAAAAATTGATGCAACCAGGAAGAATTTTCTCATTTCTCTCCACCAGTTGTACCAGCCTACTGCACCTCTCCTCATGCACCACCTTCTGCCTGTGTTCTTGCTCCTATATTCAGGAGCAAGTAATATGCAATACCTCCCTCTTTGTGGGATCTTTCTCATTAGCATAAAAATACTTTCCCTTGATCTCCAGCTACTACCCCATTTCTTTGACCTACATATAGCAAAATATTTGAGAAAGGACCACTTTCCATCTTTTCCTCAATCTACTTCCATTTTTTTCTCAATCCACTTTCATTTCATTGTTCTCCTCAACCCATTCTTTCCACAACCTACTTCATTTTATTTCCATCAGCCCCATAACTCAGGATCAACATCTTGCCAGAGCCAATTTCCTTGTCTCCCTTAACAGCTCCAGCAGTATTTATGCCATGGACAAATTATTCTTCTTGTGATACTTTCTCTCTTGCTTCCATGACACTACTCCCACTTCATTTTCTTTCTACCTCTCTGGCTCTTCCTTGGTCCCTTTTCCTGGCCCCTTCTCTCTTTCAGATCTCTAAACATCAGCTATATCTCAGCCCTGTTCTACTGACACTCTCTAGCTGTTATTTTCTAAACCCATGTTTCAGAAACCATATCTTGATGAATCTTGGAAGGCCGAGGCAGGCGAATTACTTGAGGTCGGGAGTTTGAGACCAGCCTGGCCAACGTGGTGAAACCCCATCTCTCCTAAAAATACAAAAATTACCTGGCCGTGGTGGCATGCACCCAGCTACTTGAGAGGCTGAGGCACAAGAATCGCTTGAACCTGGGAGGTGGAGGTTTCAGTGAGCCGAGATCCTGCCACTGCACTCCAGCCTGAGCAATAGAGGAGACTCCGTCTCACACACACACACACACACACACACACAAAGAAAATAAACCATCTCTTGATGAATCATAAATTTGTGTCTCTAGTTTAGACCTCTATCCTGCTCTCTAAATGATGTATCCAACTATCATCTTGACACCATCATATGTTCATAAAACATAATTATAGAATATCTTTCAGTAGGCTTGACATTTTAAGGCATGAGTTTCCGTTCAGTATCTCCTTAAAATATACCCAGGGTCTCAGGAGACTATTCAAACAGGACAAAGCTTCTATTCTACTTACTAATGTGTCTGGCCCTATTTGGCAGGTTGGATAAAAAGTCATCTGAACATTGTCACTTTATGAATAATATAGTTTAATAGTTTGTGAATCACCCCTGCAATTTAAAAAATAGTAAAATTATCAGAATCTAATTTAATAATTCCTATTGGAACACCCCATGTTAGGGGATTTCCAGTTATTTCAATTGATATCTCAATGTTTTAAAGATTGTTTATTTCTATTACTAATTCACTCTTTATTTTAACATAAATTGTGGCTATCTATCTCTATTCATTTCAATTATATTTCTCATACCATTCTATAGATGGGGTGAAAAGAAAAGTGTTAATTTTTTAAAACTCCATACCTCAAATACTATATGAATTTATAGTTGTTATTGCTAAAGCAATTATCTTACATCTTTTCCTCCAAAACAAAGTTATGTGCTGGTTTATTTTCTTTGTACTCATAAGATGCCTTCCATTTTTAGTAACATAAGTCTTGTCTTTCTCCTATTCTTAGCTACTTAAGCATTATGTAGCTTAAATAAGCACTAAAGATTCCTATCTGTATGAAAAAATAAAGATTAAATAAATAAGATCTAGAAAGGGTGACAAGGTGATGCTTCAAAATGAACCATACCAAGCCATCTAGCGATTGATAAATTACTCACACTCATAATCACATTGTTGGAAAGAAGCCATTGACAATTCAGTTTGTTTCACAACTGTCTATCACATAGTGAGCACAACTAAAAGACTACTTTTTGTCTTTTACTGCTTGTTTTGTTGATCAAGTGACTGATTGTACAATGACCAACAAGAAGTCTGATGTGTAGAGAAAAGGGGAACCTGGCTTTTCTGCCTTACTCCTGATGCCTAATTCTGAGCATGTGAATATTATTCTGTTTCTTTAATTCTCCAAGTGAAGCAGCAGATAAACCATCCTTGTTTCCATTAGCTGTCTACCCTGTTCAACTGTGTGTTTCTAATAACATAAGAATAAGAAAGCCACCAGGGTGAGCAGGGAAGGCAATGAGTCTGCAAGGCTTGTGGATAGATTTCTGTTAGTGAGGCTCTAGAAAGTTCTTCCAAGATTGATGCAATCTGAGAAGAGTTTTCTGTCAATACAAACTCCCTGGGTTTCTCCTTTGTCCTTTTACTGCCTGTGTTTGTTTTGGGTTCCAGTAAAGATCAAGTGACTGATTGTACCATGACCAACAAGAAGCCTGATGTGTGGAGAAAAGGGGAACCTGGCTTTTCTGCATTACTCCTAATGCCTAATTTTCTTGTACTGAAAGTAGTTTTTGCTGTAAGAATCTGAGGGGAGGAGTCATTTCTTCAATTTTTTTTTTTGGTCTCCTTTTAATGGTTTCTTGATCATGTCTATCCTTATTTTTCTGTTTTCACAAATTTTTGTGGTATATTTTCCTCTCATGACCTCTGTCTCAAGACTTCTTTCCATCCATCTCTTCTCATTTCATCCTGTAGAGTGTCTGTGGTAAGAGCCCTGCATTCTACTCTGGCCTTGCCATGTGTGGCCTTGGGCAAGTCCTAGCCTCCTTGAGGGTCTTATTTTTCTCATTTGTAAAATGAAACAGTTTGATGAGAAGTTTTCTAAGGTTCCTTCAAGCTTTGACAATCTCTCTCTTCTGGATCTTTTTCCCATGAAAAATTTCAACTCTTGATTAGCATGTAGGCAGGGATTATTCCACATCCTTATAGGAATCACATTTCTGCTACTGTCCCTGAATGCTAGAGTCCATTGATTAAGTTATTCACTGCTGCAATTGTCAGAGCTGATCAAAGAACTCTGAACCAGTGTGTTACTAGAACTAACAAAGAAAATGCCATTATGATGTTCTAGAGTCTTGAATTAGTAGAAGAGGTTTAATAAGAACCCTAAGGGATTGCTAGAATGTTAAAAACAAACAAACAAAAAAAAAGGTTGAAAAGTTTAGAAAATTCACTGGTCTTTGTGCCCATCATTTTACTTCCAGGGTTTAGATAATCTCATTTTTGCAATGAAGGAATGGATTAGATCACAAGTTCTCATCCTAGTAGCACATGCAGAATCTTTATAAAAACACAGAGTAGCCAGGTGCGGTGGCTCATGCCTGTAATCCCAGCACTTTGAGAGCCTGGGGCAGGTGGATCACTTGAGAATAGGAGTTGAAGACCAAGCTGGTCAACATGGCAAAACCCTGTATCTACTAAAAATTCAAAAATTAGCCAGGCATGATGGCACATGCCTCCCAGCTACTGGGGAGGCTGAGGCAGGAGAATCGATTGAACCCGGGAGATGGAGGTTGCAGGGAGCTGAGATAGCTCCACTGCACTCCAGCCTGGTGACAGGGTGAGACTCCATCACAAACAAAACAAAACAAAAGAAAGCAAAAACACAGATTACTCAGGGTCCACTAAGACCAGTGAAGTCAGTTCTCTTGGTAGGGGGCAGGGTGACTGAGCATGATGTTTGTAATTTTAAAAGTGCTCCAGGTGATTCTAGCGTGTATCAAGCAAGACTTGTGAACCACTGAACTACATGCTAAGACTCATTTTAGCTCTGATTTTCTGTGAGTCATAGCAGAGGGCTCAGCAAACTTTTTCTATAAATGCTAAGATAGTAAATATTTTCAGCTTTGTGGGCTGTATCGTCTTTATGACAACTCAACTCAGTCTTTGTAGAGAAAAGCAGCTGTACATAATATGTAAACTAATGGGAGTAGCTAGATGTGTCCTGTGGGCCATAGTTTTGCTGACTCCTGGTCTATGTCATAGAATTTCCTTTTGAATTGATGGACCACCAGCAAATGATTTTTGTCCTGTATCAATCAATGATACATACATAAATCTCTACAAGACATGTAAAGGATGAGGCTTAATGACAGAGTACTTTGGGGAAGACATAATATTGCAAAATTAAGATGCTTAGAGAAAAATCATATTAAAATAGTGAAAACTGTGAGAAGGTATTTTGATTTGTTGTTTTGGATTCCTCTTTTTGCAAATTCTTTTGAAATATTTTCAGTGGAAGCTACATAGATCCAATTGTATTCACCAAGCTAGATTGTAATTAAGCTCCAGAGTAAGTAATAGATTTGATGAGTGATGTCCAACCTTTTACATGGAAGAGTAAGTTTGAGTCTTCCTTTGCCCATTGACACACTTAGTACCATGTTTACCAAAGTTCTTAGTTATTGAAATGGGCACCAGCATATTTTGAAACGTTGGTGTTAACTTGGGATATGCCTTTTGTCATGTTGCAAATAGATTTTGTTTCTGTTTTGTGAAGATCACCATCTCTGTCACTTCTGATAGAAAAAGTGACACTGACTTCTCAAGTGATTTGACACAGGTTAAAATATGTAAACCATTTCTGTAGAGAGCAAGCTGTAATAATATACTAAAGGGCTAGGTTTATAGTATAATATAAATAACTCATTTATGCTGTTAATAATTTATAGCAACATGGCATTTGACTGACTTTTTATGTGCTCTAGTCATGTAAGTAATAGATGTGGAAACATAGACCAGAGTTTCAAGAACATGTTTTGGGCAGAGTCTGTTTTCTTGCTATTATCTCTTAAGTTTATGTTCATGGCCTAAAGATTATGCTAATGGATCTGCCTTGGTCTTGGGTGTCAGGTCTGTGTTAGCGAGTATTGAAAAGCATAGTTTTTGCCTACTGGGAAGGATTTATGATTTAAAAGCCCTAAATCTCCCCTTTTATGTACTTCATACTTAGAAAATTTTTCCTGTAAACTGTGTGACTTTTTTACATTGTGCCAGTTTTCTAGATGACTCTCGTCATATTTATTTCTTGCAATCCTTCTATAACTATCAGTTATGAAGTCTCTTTATAGTGTTGCCAGCCAGGTCTCAGGTGTGTGAAATGTATTTTCTATTATGGATTTTGGGGTATGATGGCACATAGTTTGGGTGTTAATGCCTAATCTTGATGTACTGGCTTCTGAACAACCAAAAGGATGAAAGGAAATAGAACAAATATTTTTGTGAGGGAGAGGAGTCTGGCTTCTTGACTTACTCTAGAAAAAGCCTGTAAGCCTCCTCTTCCCTCCTTGTCACACAAAGTGACAAAGAAAATCAAGAATTGTTTTCTTCTTGGCTTAAATGCATCCCTTATAAAGTAAGGCTGAGATCAGGCTGTGAAGCTATCTTTTTGTCAAGACTGTCATAATTCCAAAACACTTTGTTCTTCTAATGCTTAGGTTAGTAACTTTAAACATTTTTATAAAGATAGTGAGGTCCAGTTTTAAGGATTGACCCCTTCTCAAGGGGCTCAGAAGAGGTTTTGGAGAATAATAAAATTAAATAATGAAACCAATAATTTAAACCAGATCATGATCCTTAAGAAAAAATCCCATCAAATTTGGGCTAAACTCTAATATACAGAGGTCTGCACAACTTATGTCAAGTATTCTTCCCCACAAATGAAGAATGGGGTTCATTGTGTCATTGGTTGGGTCTCATTTTGGCTTCATCTTCTATTTCTCAAAGTCTAAGAAAAGTGCTCCTACGGAAGTGGGTGTTGGCTATCATGAGACTTTGCTGCTGGCAGGCCAGCTTGCTGCTCTAGACAGAGATATCCCTCGATCCTCCTTGGACAACTGTTTTCTGTGCACAGGAAGCAGCAGGCTGGGGTTAAGGAGTTTGCCAATCCAGTCATTCTGATAATTGCTGAATATGAATTTCTATCCAGCACAATCTAGGTAGCTACAATGGCACAGTAGTTTTTATGTATCAGGTGAAAATGTTTAATAGGCACTCTAAATGAGAGAAAAGGTTAAGTGAGGTTAAAAGCTCAATGAAAACAAATAGATGAGACTAAAAATAGTTCAATAGGTTGTAACTTCCATCTCATCCAAACAGCAATGAATATTTTGAGGCTGAGGCGCTGAGGGGTAAAATTGCAGCCTGGACTACTTGCTAATGTAGACCTACAGCACTGTCATTCTTACTGCACAGACACTGCTTTCTGCATAGGAGGTAGAATAATGAATTCATTTATTATTAACAAAGATTTATTAAGTGACTGCATGGTGCTAACCACTAGATGGGGAGGGATGTTTTGAACTGTCCATTGTTTGACTATAACAAGGAACGCTTTGAACGAGGTTACTATCATAGGCAGAATTTGTTTAACATGAAGCCTATGAGACATAAGCCACAGGTCCTCTCACGTGCAGGAACTCCTTTGAAGGCCCTATACTTAATTTTATATGCATAGTTTGGATTTGGATTCTTTTTTTTTTAAGAGTTCCCCAAATTACTTAAGCTTCAGGCTCCACAAAACCTGGATCTACCCCTGGTAGCAGCTATGAATCTTTGACTATGAAATTAAGTGTACAAGAAATATGACTTTACTTTTTCTGTGATTGAGTTTATTTTCTATTTGAGCACGCATTCCACTGAGTGAAAGAAATAATATCATTGAATTCAGAGATTTTGCTGGGTTCTAAGTGGAGTTTACAGAATGCCATGATATTAGGAATTAAGGAGTGTGTTGCCCTACATCATCTTTTGTCCGTGCTCACTGTCTCTGAGGCACTGATGTTCCTATGTGACCTAGAGGGGCATGGTCCAGGTAGATGGAGTCTGTCCTTGTTCTCACTGTGAGCTCTCGCTTGCTGACCCTTCTTCAGTTTCTTCCATGCCCCTGAGGGGTAAAAAGATTCAAATCTGAAGCTATATCAAGCCATCTGTGCATAGACATTCCAAGCAACCATGTTCACTCTACTGCTCCCATGTCATGCAAGGCACAGGAAGCTTCACTATGGCATGAGTATTTCCTGGGCTTTGCCTTGGAATTGAGGCACGGGCCTCCTTTGTTCTAAAATTCCCCAAATCTACTTGAGGATAGAACCAGGATTTGGTTGCAAGGCAGAACTTTTCTTAGAGGACCTGGTATCTAAACCCTCTTGTTACCCCCATTTATGGACCCCATTTATGGGGTGAGGAGAGTGACTGCTTCTAATCCATCATAATTTTTGTCTATGGCTACTGTTTTTGCATAGACACTATGTTTTGAGTCCTTAGGCTTTGGCTTTTGGCGCTTAATGGCCAATATTCACATGGCTCAAAATTTTCAAATGATCCATATCTGACTTGAGTTTCAAAAGTCAGTTTTTGAAACTTAAATGATCAGAATTGATTTGTTCTGCTCTGGTTCTGATGTGGCCTCTCCTTCCAGAGGTACTGGAGGTAGAATATCCAAGGTGGAAAGCCCACGACTACAAGGAATTGGTTAGTAATTCATAATGTTAGCTGTCCACATCTATTCAGTAATGGCATTTCAGTGGCTGCACAACTGACCATGGTGAAAGTGTCTGCACAAGCCACTTTTTCTTCCTGTCAGAAAATGTTCTCACCCACTGAATTGAATGACTGTCTGCTCATATGCTGTGAATGAGTGCCCAGTCTTAAGATTAAATCACACGTTCTTGGCTATGCATATTTGGGCATGCTGTGGGGAGTTATAATAGGCTGTCTTAGAGTCACATTAAGCAGCTAGACAGACAATGAGTTGGAAAGTTACATTTTCTAAATTTGATTGGTACATTCCATTTGTCACATTTGACATTAGAAGTTCTGGATTCACCCTCTATGGTGAGCTTCACTAATGGAGAATGTAATTTGCAATGCTCAAACACAAGTCCTAAACAGAAAACATTGTATGTTACATTCCAGTGCTACCAAAATAGTGGTTTTGAAAGTCCTTATTTTCTAATACTACTATGTGTAATTTTGAGTCATTTAGATAGCAACAGTTAAATGTTTTATAGATTGTTTGGAAGTATTAAAATGTGAAGGATTTTTGTTATATAGTGTCTTTCCTATCTTGCTTAATAAAATATAAGTTTAGAATTGTGTATAGAATTAACATGCAAAAATATCAAGTCTCAACTTTATACAGTTAATCTACATTTGTGTATACCCTTCAATTATTTCAAGAGAGGGATACTATTCTTATGCAGGATAAATACAATAAGATATTTTAAATGAATTTTAACTACATCTCTGGCAGTTTCATCTCAATAGTAGTTGTAATTTTATCTCCCAGACCTTATTATAGACTAGCAGCTCTCTATGAAAATTAGTGACAGTGTGAGTGTATTTTAATTCAAAGTTAATCAAGAATGACTGAGTCAAGAGTTAGCTACCCCTGAAAGTAACTCATAATTCAGAATTTAAAATATTACATGTGGAACAATCATGACTATATGCCTTTTACTTTCTCTATCATTATTTAGGTTGTGGGCTTTGGGTCCTTTTCACATCCGTTAACAGTGGGCTTGACTTCAAAGGATTATTTTCTTGAATCTTGAATAATTGCTGAAGACAATTTGAAGATATTTTCAAGATGAAGGAAACTGAAGCACAGAATCACTAGAGTGAAAAAAGAACTTCACAAACAGTGCAGGCTTGATCAATGGCATGGGAAAACAGGCAATACAGTTAGAATTGCTAAGATGGAATTTTAACGTTCAATTAAGGATCTATCTCTAAACTCCTCTGCTTTATCCACCAATCATTCCATATTAAAGATGAAGAATTGTTCCCATTTCACCTTTTGATAAGGAAAAATAGAAATAACAGAAGCAAATACACTTTTGCCCACATTTTTTTCCAAAAAGAATAATTTTTGAAGTCTAAACGTTTGGTGTAAATAAGATGATGTGTTAATATTGTAAAGGAAAGCTAGTTAAGTTTTTGACTGAATAAAGCCAGCATCAATAATTACTAGTAAGACTAAAAATAAGAGCAGTAAAATTGTGTCTAATCAGCTACTAATATCTGGGAAGGATTGAGCCACAGGATCAAAGATGGTATCTTTTAAAAATAGAAGTTGAGTGAATTCGGTCTTCAAATTCTTTCTTTTTATTCATTTATATTTATTTACTCATTAGTATATTCATTCCTTTATTCATGTATTGTTCAAATATATATTGGGTACTTATTATATGCCAAGTTGTTTTTAAAATCACATTCCAAATTCCCGTAAGTCATAATTATTCAGAGATGTATGTTTTTTTTAAAAAAAATTGAACACCTTTAAAAATTATCAAGTCCTTTTATTTCTGTATGCATTAAAGATAAACTTTACTAAATGTTACATGAATAGATTTATAAAGCAGATAAATATTTAATTTCAAATATAACCCTTATATGCAATTATATTTTCCTTAGCACTAAAAATGAATATTTAAGTAATTTATATTAAAAGTGTAATTATTTAACTGCAGATGTATGCCAATGACTTAAATTGTTTAAAGATTATAGCAAAGTTGTTTAAAATTGTCTAATCATGAAGAGTTCACTTAACCACCTGGTTGACACATAAAATTATAGTTAGTTACTAAGGTAGTTCGAGAGAAAGAGAAGAATCTTCAGTAGTGGTTTTGAGGTGTGGTACATTTTATTATAATATACCGGTTATACAGCATTGTGCAGTGCTGCTCATAGTAGAAATAAATTTTCTCTTTGATGTCATCTATTCCCTTGTGTGGCTTACATAACTGAGAATTAGGTGATCACAAAAATAAACAGGCCTATACAGAGCCCATTTATATAAGTCCTGGTTATTTCTCTTCAGTTAAACTTTTAATTATATCCAATTATTTCCTGTTAGTTCATTGAAAAGCCCGACAAATAACCAAGTGACAAATAGCAAGTGTTGCATTTTACAAGTTATTTTTTAGGAAGCATCAAACTAATTGTGAAATTGTCTGCCATTCTTAAAAACAAAAATGTTGTTATTTTTATTTCAGATGCGATCTGTGAGCCGAGTCTTTAAGTTCATTGACATGCCAACAGAAGGTAAACCTACCAAGTCAACCAAACCATACAAGAATGGCCAACTCTCGAAAGTTATGATTATTGAGAATTCACACGTGAAGAAAGATGACATCTGGCCCTCAGGGGGCCAAATGACTGTCAAAGATCTCACAGCAAAATACACAGAAGGTGGAAATGCCATATTAGAGAACATTTCCTTCTCAATAAGTCCTGGCCAGAGGGTGAGATTTGAACACTGCTTGCTTTGTTAGACTGTGTTCAGTAAGTGAATCCCAGTAGCCTGAAGCAATGTGTTAGCAGAATCTATTTGTAACATTATTATTGTACAGTAGAATCAATATTAAACACACATGTTTTATTATATGGAGTCATTATTTTTAATATGAAATTTAATTTGCAGAGTCCTGAACCTATATAATGGGTTTATTTTAAATGTGATTGTACTTGCAGAATATCTAATTAATTGCTAGGTTAATAACTAAAGAAGCCATTAAATAAATCAAAATTGTAACATGTTTTAGATTTCCCATCTTGAAAATGTCTTCCAAAAATATCTTATTGCTGACTCCATCTATTGTCTTAAATTTTATCTAAGTTCCATTCTGCCAAACAAGTGATACTTTTTTTCTAGCTTTTTTCAGTTTGTTTGTTTTGTTTTTCTTTGAAGTTTTAATTCAGACATAGATTATTTTTTCCCAGTTATTTACTATATTTATTAAGCATGAGTAATTGACATTATTTTGAAATCCTTCTTATGGATCCCAGCACTGGGCTGAACACATAGAAGGAACTTAATATATACTGATTTCTGGAATTGATTCTTGGAGACAGGGATGGTCATTATCCATATACTTCAGGCTCCATAAACATATTTCTTAATTGCCTTCAAATCCCTATTCTGGACTGCTCTATAAATCTAGACAAGAGTATTATATATTTTGATTGATATTTTTTAGATAAAATAAAAGGGAGCTGAAAACTGAATTGCAAACTGAATTTTAAAACTTTATCTCTCTGTGGTTAATTGCAAACACAGATACAAAAATATAGAGAGAGATACAGTTAGTAAAGATGTTAGGTCACCGTTACTAACACTGACATAGAAACAGTTTTGCTCATGAGTTTCAGAATATATGAGTTTGATTTTGCCCATGGATTTTAGAATATTTGATAAACATTTAATGCATTGTACAAATTCTGTGAAAACATATATATAGGATGTGCGAAAAGTCCCTGTGTATCATGTGAAATGGCTTAAAACAGAACACCATAGGTATTCATATCAGTGAATACCATAGGTAGCTGAAAGTGTTTTTTCCTGGGGTCGCCAAGATGAATGCCAAAAGTGATATCATTATTATAAACAATAGCCAGAATAGGTTGGTATAAACCTGGTAGAAAGCCTTGATAAATTGACTTTCTCTCCTCCTGACATCCTGCCACCCCTTTGCTTTGCTGATGCTCATTTGTCCACTAAATTAAACTCAAGCAAGCCCTAGTAAAGTAATAGAATTTGTGGAGTCCTCATTAGTATAGGAAGTTTCCCTGATGTGAGATTAGTAATTAGAGATGTAGCAAAATGAGAAAGAAGTAATATGCTTAGATATTTCATTTTCTCTGAACCTGTATATACAAAATAGGCCATGCGTGTTCAGTAACTATTCACTGCAAGGCACTCTCTAGGTACTTTGGGGGAATTGGAAATTACTCACATAAGGCTATGGATTGTGCCATTTGTCAAAAGACAAAATGACAACAAATTTAGTTTAAAGACCTCAGTCAGCTTTATTTTCTATTCTAGATTTGGACAGTCCTTCATTTCACAAATTGGAGTAAGTGTTCCAATAAGTTGAGCAAAGGAGCTTGGCTTTATAGACCCAAAAAAAGGGCCAAAGGAAGCAGAAACAAAGAACAATAAGAGAATTGGTCATTTCAAAGTTACTTTTCTTGAAAGGTGGGGACAAGGAGACAGAATAATAGAAAAGTCACTGATTGGTTAACATTGGATTAAGAATTAAAACAGAGGAAACTTTAAGATTGAAGTTTGAAACTGACTTGTTTGGGAAATCAGGCTGTCTTCTTTCTTGATTTCTTAGAAGGCCGGATAACAACTGAGTTTTGCTTTGGTGAACATGGGTGACTCCATTTTTACTTTTAGTCTGGTCTGTTGAGGCCTCGTGAGAGAGCTTAATCTAAAACAATGACTTCCTATAATTTTTGTTTGACACATCCAAAGAGGGACTCTAATATTTATTGAGAGCTTATCATATCTTAAGTACTGTTTAAACACTTTTATTTGCTATTACATTTGATCTTATTATAACTCTAAAGGCAGAAATGATTGCTTTTATTTTCCACAATGGAGGAAACTGAGGTTCAATTAAGTGAGTAAGGAAGCAGGGATCTTAAACCCAGATACCATTGCTCCTCTTTAAAGGTGGAAGAACAGAAAACATGGGGCAGGGGAAGAGAGAAAGTTTCTGTCCCAGGACATGATAATCTAAAAGGGAAAACGTAAGATCCACTGAAACCTGAGGCAGATTTATTGTGGCAATAACAAAGCTTAAGTTTCACAGACCTTCATTTGCCTGAGCCAACTTTGAAGGCCATGTATCTAATTTTGTTTTTATAATTCTATAATCTTTATTCTTGAAAAGAGCCCTCCCTCCAAATTTACAAGCTTTGGGCCCCCAAAATCCTTGAAATGCCCTTGAATAAGAGATATCCAGGTAAATGCTATGGGAATTCAGAGGAGGAAGCAGTTAGTATCAGTTGGCGGAGAGTTAGGCTATTAAGAGAAGGTTTTATATAGGAAGTGGCATTTAGAATGAAGCTTTGAGAACTGAGCTGTGTATTTGAACAAGTAAAGGTGGTGTTGCAGAATTTTGCTCCTTAGTTCTATTAAAAACCCGGGTTCTTGTCACATGATCCGGAAAATTTAGGCACACAGATACATTGAAGCATGAGTAGAGCAGGATTTTATTGGGCAAAAAGGAAAAAAAGAAAACTCAGCAAATCGAGATGGAGTCTTGCTCACAGATTGAATCCCAGGCCACCACAAAGGAACTGAAGAGATCGGGCTTCTCCCCTGCATAAGGTGCAAATTCCCCATGGCTCCACCCACTTCCCCTTAGTGTGCATGTGGGGCTCCAGTCCACGGTGGGCATGCCCAGACAAGCCTTGGGCAGGTTCCCTCATCTGTGCAAAAGCATCTGATGTAAACACTTGAGGGGTGGTTCGGAGATTCTCTGGGACCCTTTTATTTTCTTATCTGCCTAGGCATTTGGCTGTCTCAGTGGGTGGGAAAGGGTGCTCCAGGCAAAGGGCATAACATGAGGCAAAGGGCATGCACAGAAAACAGTGACTGGTTCAGTCAGGTTGGGGGATGCCAAAGGAAGTAATGGGAGACAAGATTGGAGCAAGATAGATAAGAGATTGTGGATTTTTTTTCTTTTTTATCTATATAAATACAGAGACAGGGTCTCACTATGTTGCCCAGGCTGGTCTCAAACTCCTGGCCTCAAGTGATCCTCCCACCTCATCCTCCCAAAGTGCTAGGATTACAGGCATGAGGCACTGTGCCCAACCTCCAATTTTGGATTTTGAGAGCTAAAGCAATATAGTCGAAAACTCAGATAATCCAGGTAGATTTTGCTATTAGGTGCTATTTGGTTCCTGGTACAGAGCTAAAACCCTTGGAATTTCCTAAGTGATAAGAGCTACAGGAGCATCTTTTGTTATATGTTTCCCCCCCTAGTTCCTGAAATAGCTCTAGAGAAATACAGGTGAATAACATCCTTTGTTATTCATATCAAGCCCCTATCAACCATACCCCAGTTTCTATTTATGAAGTGGCTTTTGGGAAGTCCCTAAAGACAGGAGTGGGGAAAGGCTGGTTGTCAGGGGGATGGGTTGAAACTTTCATCTTCCCCCCTTGACCTCCAGGGAGGGATGAGTGGCTGAAAATTGTGTAAAATCAACAATGGCCAGTGATTTAATCAACCATGCCTATGTAATGAAGCCACCCGATAAGCCTTAACTGGAACTTTTTGGAGAGCCTCCAGGCTGGTGAAGACATTGAGGTGCTCAGAAGGTGGTATTCCAGAGAGAGCACAGAATCTCTGTTCCCCTTCCCACATTCATTTTGCTATGCATCTCTCCCATCTGGCTGTTCTTGAGAGGTATCCGTTTATAATAAACTGGTAACCTAGTAAGTAAACTGTTACCCTGAGTTCTGTGAGCCATTCTAGCAAATTATCAAACCTAAAGAGTTCATGGATACGTGCAATTTACAGATGCACAGTCAGAAGCACAGATGACAATCTGGGCTTGCCATTGGCATTTGAAGTGTGTTGGGAGGCAGTCTTACAGGAATGAGCCCTTATCCTGTGGGGTCTATGCTAATAACAGACAGTTGTCAGCATTGCTTGGTGTCGAAAACCCACATTGTTGGTGTCAGAAGTATTGTCAGTAGGATAGGGAAAACAGTTTGTTTTCTTTTTTTAGTGGTCTTTGGTCATCTTTAAGAGCAGGGCTTCTCAAAGTGTGGTCCTTGAACCAGCATCACCTGTACCACGTAAGAACTTATGAGAAATGTTCATTCTTGGGCCCCAACAAAGAATTAAAAATTCTGAGGGTGTGAACGGGGTCTGAGTTTCAGCACAACTTCCCGACCATGCTGATGCATTCTTGCCCAAGCATGAAAGCCCTCCCTTGTTTAAGAAGGCCATTAGGGCCGGGTGTGGTGGCTCATGCTTGTAATCGAGCACTTTGAGAGGACATAGTGGGAGGATCACTTGAGCCCTGGAGTTCTAGACAAGCCTGGGCAACATGGCAAAATGCTGTCTCCACAAAAATCACAAAAATTAGGTGGGCGTGTGTTGTGTGCCTATAGGCCCAGCTACTTAGGAGACTGAGGCAGGAGGATCGCTTGAGCCCAGGAGATTAAGGCTGCAGCGAGCTGTGATGGCACCACTACAGCCTGGATGACAGAGTGAGACA
This sequence comes from Homo sapiens, assembly GCF_000001405.40. Lineage (NCBI taxonomy): Eukaryota > Metazoa > Chordata > Mammalia > Primates > Hominidae > Homo > Homo sapiens. The sequence continues at coordinate 117,632,551 of NC_000007.14, forward strand.
CTGTCTCAAAAAAAAAAAAGAAAAAGAAAAAGAAAAAAGAAAGGAAAATGAAAAAGAACGCCATTAGGTATAAAGGAGCAATGGTAAAAGACCAGTTGCAAAAGGTTAGGGAATGGGTGGTTACTGAAATAAGAAGCTATGTAGAACACTAGTGTTGGTGGCAGGAAGTAGAAAGCAAGAGCACTGCTCTGTGGGGGATGGTCATAGCAAATGCAATATGGAGGCATTTGCCTCTGCACTGAGGAGAAAACTATCTTTTCCAAGATAGGAGGAAAGGAGATAAGTGGAATTAAAGAGAACCTTTGAGCACAGAGTTGGGAAACTGAAGGTATTTGTGTTGTGCTCCCTCAATCTTTTAATTCAACTATAAGCTAAACCCATGAAACTTGAGTAGTTTCAGTTATCTGACTTTTTTCTTCTCTTTTGATACAGTGTTGGCTATTCTGGGTCTTTTGCCTCTCTTTATGTACTTAAGAATCAGTTTGCCAATGTATGCAAAATAACTGGCTGGGATTTTGATTGTGATTGGCTTGAATCTATAGATGGAGTTGGGAAGGACTGACATCTTGACAATGTTGAAGCTTCCTATTCATCATTATGAAATATTTCTCCATTTGTTTGATTCTTTGATTTCTTTTATCAGAATTTAGTTTTCCTCATATAGTCTTTTAAAATATTTTGTTATATTTTGTTCAAGTATTTTGTTTTTGAGGAATGCCAATGTAAATGGTATTGTGATTTTAATTTCAAATTCCAATTTTTCATTGCTGTTATATAGGAAAATGATTTTTTTTGCATGTTAGCCTTATATCTTTCAACTTTGCTATAATCAATTATTGATAGTTTCAAGGATTTTTTGGTCAATTATTTTGAATCTTCTACATAGATTATCATCATCTGAACTTAGTTTTATTTCTTCCTTCCCAATCTGTATACCTTTATCTCCTTTTCTTATTTCATTAGCTAGGACTTCCAGTATGATGTTGAAAGTAGTGGTGAGAGGGGATATCTTGGTCTTGTTCTTGATCTTAGTGGGAAAACTTCAAGTTTCTTATCATTAAGTATGATTTTAGCTGGAGGGTTTTTGTAGAAGTTTTTTTTTTTTAAGTTGAAGAAGTCTCCTTCTATTTTTAGTTTGCTGATTTTTAAAAAGAATCAGGAATGGGTGTTAAATTTTGTGAAATGCTTTTCTGCAACTATTGATTTGAGCACTTTATTTTTCTTCTTTGGCTTGTTGATGTGAAGTACATTAATTGATTTTTGAATGCTGAATCAACCTTTTGTACCTGAGATTAATCCCGTTTGGTTGTGGTATATAATTATTTGTATACATGTTGAGTTCGATTTGCTAATACTTTTTGAGAATTTTTGCATTGGTGTTCATGAAAAAATATTGGTGTGTAGTTTTTTGTGACATCTTTATCTGCTTATGGTTTTAAGGTAATGCTGGCCTCATAGCATGAGTTAGGGAGTATTTCCTCTACTTTTACATTTGAGAAGAGATTGCAGAGAATTAGTAAAATTCCTACTTTAAATATTTTGTGGAATTCACCAGTGAACCCATCTGGACCTGGTGCTTTCTGTTTTGGAAGGTCATTAATTATTTTAAAATAGATATAGGCCTATTCAGATTACCTATTTTTTCTCATGCGAGTTTTAGCAGATTGTCTTTCAAGGAATTGGTCTATTTCATTTAGGTTATCAAATATGTCAACGTAGAGTTATTCATAGTATTCTTTTATTATCCTTTTAATGTGCAAGGGATCTGTAGTGATGTCCCCTTTTTTGTTTTATTGATATTAGCAATTTGTGTCACATCTTTTATTTTGCTTTGTTAGCCAGGCTAGAGATATCTCTATTTTTGATGTTTTTGATGAACCAACTTTTTGTTTTATTGATTTTCTCTGTTGATTTCGTGATTTCAATTTCATGATTTTTAAATTATGCTTACATTTGATTTAATTTGATCTTCTTTTGCTAGTTATCCAAGGTGGAAGCTTATATTGTTAAGATCCTTTTGCATTCTTATGCATTCAATGATGTAAATTTCCCTCTAAGCACTGCTTTTTCTGCATCTCACAAATATTCATGAGTTGTATTTTCATGTTCATTTAGTTTGAAATATTTTTAAATTTCTCTTGATATTTCTCTTTTGACCCATGTGTTACTTAGAAGTGTGTTGTTTAATCACCATTTTTAAAAATTTTCTAGCTATCTTTCTGTTATTGATTTCTAGTTTAATTCCATTGTGGTCTGAGAGCATATATTGTATAATTTTAATTTTTATAAAATTTGTTAAGGTGTGATTTATGGCCCAGAATGTGGTCTATCTTGGTGAATGTTCCATGTAAGCTTTGGAAGACTGTGTATTCTGCTATATTTGAATGAGGTAGTCTATAGACATCAATTATGTCCAGTTGATTGATGGTGCTGTTGAATTCAACTATGTCCTTACTGATTTTCCACCTGCTAGATCTGTCCATTCTTTGCAGAGGGACACTGAAGTCTCCAACTCTAGTAGTGAATATTCTATTTCTTGTTACAGTTTTATCAACTTCTGCTTCATGTCTTTTGATGCTTTGTTGCTAGAAACATACACATGAAGAATTGGTATGTCTTTTGGAGCATGACCCATTTATCCTCATATAATGCCCCTCATTATTTCCTCGCCCTGATGTCTGTTCTCTCTGAAAGAAATATAGCCTCTCCAGGTCTCTTTTGGTTGGTGTTAAAATGACTTAACTTTCTTTATCCCCCTTACTTTTAGTTTATATGTGGTTTTAAATTTAAAGTGGGTTTCTTGTAGACAGCAAATAGTTCAGAGTTGTTTTTCGATCCACTTTGACAATCTTTGTCTTTTAATTGGTATATTTGGACTATTGATATTTTAAGTGATTATTGATATAGTTAGATAAACATCTACTATATTTATTACTGTTTTCTGTCTGTTACACTACTTGTTCTTTGTTTATATTTTTATTGTCTACTCTTTTTCTTTCCATTGTGGTTTTAATCGAGCATTTTATATGTTTCCATTTTCTTTTCTTAGCATAGTAATTCTTCTTTAAAAAAACATTTTTTAGTGGTTGCCCCTAGAGTTTGCAATATACATTTACAACTAATCTAAGTCCATTTTCAAATAATACTAAATAATTTCATGTGTAGTGCAAGTACCTTTTAATAATAAAACACTCCCAGTTCCACCTTCCAGTCTCTTGTATTATAGCTATAATTTAGTTCACTTACATATATGGGTATACCTAAGTATATACATTATCATATTTATGATTGAATATATTGATGAAATTATTTTGAAAAAACTGTTATCGTTAAATCAATTAAGAGTAAGAAAAATAGTTCTAATTTTATTATAAAATGAAATACCTTCATTTATTCATTCTCTAATACACTTTCTTTCTTTATGTAGATCCAAGTTTCTGACCTGTATAATTTTCCTTTTCTCTCTTCAGCTTCTTTGAACATTTCTTACCAGCCAGACCTACTGACAACAATTTTCCCCAATTTTTGTTTGTCTGATAGAGACTTTATTTCTTCTTGACTTTTGAAGAATAATTCCACAGGGCACAGAACTCTAGATTGGTGATTTCTTCCCCTCAAACCCTTAAATATTTCATTCCACTGCCTTCTTGCTTGCATTGTTTCTGAGAAGTTAGATATAATTCTTATCTTTGCCTTTCTATAGGTAAGATGTTTTTTCCTCTGGCTTCTATCAAGATTTTTTCTTTATGAACATGATATGCCTTTCTTTTTGAACATGATATGCCTTTCTTTTTGAACATGATATGCCTTTGTGTCGGATTTTTTTTGGCATTATTCTGCTTGGTTTTCTCTGAGTTTCTTGGATATGTGGTATGGTATCTGACACTAATTTGGAAAAATTCTCAGTCATTATTGCTTCAAATATTTCTTCTGTTCTTTTTTTTCCTTTATTCTCCTTCTGGTATTCCCATTACATGTATGTTACAGTTTTTGTAGTCATCCCGCTGTTTTGGATATTCTGTTTTTTTCAGTTTTTTTTTCCTTCGCATTTCAGTGTTGGAAGTTTCTATTGACATATTCTCAACCTCAGAGATTCTTTCTTCAGCTGTGTTCAGTCTACCAATGAGTCCATCAAAGGCATTTTACATTTTTATTACAGAATTTTTGACCTATAGAATTTCTTTTGATTCCATCTTTGAATCTCCATTTCTCTTCTGCTTTTCATCTGTTCTTGCATGTTGCCTACTTTTTCCATGAAAACCTTTAGCTTTTTTTTTTTTTCTTTTTGAGGTGGAGTCTCACTGTTGCCCAGGCTGGAGTGCAGTGGTGTGATCTTGGCTCACTGCAACCTCTGCCTCCTGGGTTCAAGTGATTCTCCTCCTCAGCCTCCCAAGTAGCTGGGATTACAGGTGCCTGCCACCATGCCTGAGTAATTTTTGTATTTTTAGTAGAGATGGGGTTTTATCATGTTGGCCAGGCGGGTCTTGAACTCCTAACCTCAAGTGATCTGCCCACCTTAGCCTCCCAAATTGCTGGGATTATAGGTGTGAGCCACCATGCCCTGCCTTTAGCATGTTAATCATAGTTGTTTTAAATTCCTGATCTGTTAATTCCAACATCCCTGTCATATCTGACTGTGGTTCTGATGCTTGCTCTGTGTTTTCAAATGGTGTTTTTTTTTTTTTGCCTTTTAGTAAGCCTTGTAATTTTTTATTGAAAGGTGGACATGATGTGCTGGGTAAAAGGAACTGTAGTAAATAGGCCTTTAGTAATGTACTGGTAGGTGTAGCAGAGGGTGAGGGAAGTATTCTGTAGTCCTATGATTAGGTTTTAGTCTTTTAGTGAGCCTGTGCGCCTGCAGCTTGGAAGCACTTGTGAAGTGTTTTTTCACCCCTTTTGGTGGGACATAGTGACTAGTGTGAGCGGGAGTTGAGTATTTCCCTTCCCCTAGGTCAGTTAGGCTCTGAAAAAACCCTGATAGGTTAGGCATGGTAAAATAGTCTCTTTTGAGGGCAGGCATTGTTATAAGAATAGAATGCTCTGGGGCCAGGTGCGGTGGCTCACGCCTGTAATCCCCGCACTTTGGGAGGCTAAGGCAGGTGGATCACCTGAGGTCAGGAGTTCGAGACCAGCCTGGCCAACATGGTGAAACCCCGTCTCTACTAAAAATACAAAAATCAGCCAGGTGTGGTGGCACACACCTATAATCCCAGCTACTCAGGAGGCTGAGGCAGGAGAACTGCTTGAACCCAGTAAGTGGAGGTTACAGTGACCCAAGATTGTGCCACTGCAGTCTAGTCTGGGTGACAGAGCAAGACTCCGTCTCAAAAAAAAAAGAATGCTCTGGCATATTTGAAAATGGTTACTTTTCCCTTTTTTTCTCTGATCTTCACTGTGAGAACCTGGTAAGCATCCTATAGGCAAAATTCATAAAAGTATAGAAGTCGGCCAGTGACTTGGACCCACTTGGAATTTTCTTGCTCTCACATCATGCACACTGAATCTCCAGCAATTTTTCACTTACAGTTTAGGTTTTCCTACCCTACTACTGGTTCTCTCAGAGGTTTCTGCTTATTGGTTTCTGTTTTGTAAGTTGTGATTCTCTGTACCTAACTGCCTGTCTCCCATTTTGGGGGGCAGTGGTTTGCCCTGTGACCTCACTTCTCTGACAGATCTAAGAAAAGTTGTTTATTTTTCAGTGTGCTCTGCTTTTTACTTGTTACGATGAAGCCAACCACTTTCAGAATTTCTACAAACCAGATCAGAATCTGGAAGTCCTGTTTTTTTATTTTTTTTATCCCTTTGTTTAGCATGTTACCTATCTTAACACATTTTAAATAAGTGAATGCATAGCTTATATCTACTTCTAGGTTATATGCTTCCTTAGAATAGGAATTGATTCTTAAAATGTCGTTCTGCTCACGCCTGTAATTCCAGCACTTTGGGAGGCCAAGGCAGGCGGATCACTTGGGGTCAGGAGTTCAAGACCAGCCTGGTCAACATGGTAAAACCCTGTGCCTGCAAAAAATACAAAAATTAGCTGGGCATGGTGGTGGCCATCTGTAATCCCAGCTACTAGGGAAGCTAAGGCATGAGAATCACTTGAACCTGGGAGGTGGAGGTTGCAGTGAGCTGAGATCGCGCCACTGCACTCCAGCCTGGGTGACAAGAGCAAAACTCCATCTCATAAATAAATAAATAAATAAATAAATAAATAATAAAAATAAAAAAATAAAATAAAACAAAAATTTTATTCTGAGCAGTCTCTGAAGAATATAAATTCTACTGCCTTGCCTTTAGAACTTATAACAGCATCTCGCAAACTATCACAAGATGCTCCAAACATACTTCTTATGTGCTGAATTAAGAAGTCAACTCAAATTTAGTATACTAGTAATATTTTTGGATATCCCAAAACACTGCCAGCTCAGCTTTAGGCTGCCCTTCTTGGGGGGGAAAAAAGCAGTTGAAATTTAGGACTTAAGTGGGCATCTCGTTTAATTTTTAATGGATTTCTATGTTGTTGGTTATGGTGAAGAGGTGAAAAGAATAAATATTCTGTGCAGAAAAATTATTCAGTCTTCATGTGAAAACACTTTGTCCATAGCAATTACTTTATGAAAAAGATGTGGTATTACTTTCTTTGCTCTTAACTGAGACCTTTAATTTAAAGAACCTATACTTTACAAGTTTTTATTTTCAATGCATGAAAAATGTAGCAGCTATTTCACAACCTTTACTTTTAAAATCCATTTTTCTTTTTAATCTCAAATAGTTTTTTCTTAAAACCTTTTGACTTTTTATCTAAATTGTAATAGCCAGAGCACCTTCCCACAACTAGAATATCTCATCCTTTTTGTCTTTTCTTTTTCCTCTCAAAATGCCTACTGGGAACTTAATTTGGAGTCAGATTCTTCATGATAAATCTGGACTTAATCAAAATTCCTCATATGGTATATTGTATATATCACAGTACTGGATAGTCCTCTGATTAAATAGATATTTGATAGTACTTTAAGGTCTATACTTTTGGATGAACTTAACTGCTTTCTCCATTTGTAGTCTCTTGAAAATACAGAAATTTCAGAAATAATTTATAAGAATATCAAGGATTCAAATCATATCAGCACAAACACCTAAATACTTGTTTGCTTTGTTAAACACATATCCCATTTTCTATCTTGATAAACATTGGTGTAAAGTAGTTGAATCATTCAGTGGGTATAAGCAGCATATTCTCAATACTATGTTTCATTAATAATTAATAGAGATATATGAACACATAAAAGATTCAATTATAATCACCTTGTGGATCTAAATTTCAGTTGACTTGTCATCTTGATTTCTGGAGACCACAAGGTAATGAAAAATAATTACAAGAGTCTTCCATCTGTTGCAGTATTAAAATGGCGAGTAAGACACCCTGAAAGGAAATGTTCTATTCATGGTACAATGCAATTACAGCTAGCACCAAATTCAACACTGTTTAACTTTCAACATATTATTTTGATTTATCTTGATCCAACATTCTCAGGGAGGAGGTGCATTGAAGTTATTAGAAAACACTGACTTAGATTTAGGGTATGTCTTAAAAGCTTATTTGCGGGAAGTACTCTAGCCTTATTCAACAGATCACTGAGAAGCCTGGAAAAACAAATCCCGGAAACTAATTATTATGTGCCAGTTATATAAACAAGAAGACTTTGTTGGGTACAAACCAGTGATTCCTTGCCTTTGAAAAATGTGTCAGATATCATGCATTACCAGCAGTTCAATGATATAAGGAAACCAGAGTAATAGCTAAAACCTTTAAAGCTAAACCAAAGATTTACAAATTGCCTCTTCATCCAGTCTTTCCCAACCTAAAAACTGAGTTCTCTAAAAATTTTAGTATTTTTTTCTGAAGAAAAGGGAACATGGACATTTATCTAATCCTCATTAGAAATCTGACTAATGATAACAAGGATTTAGACCTCAAGCACTTCTTACCAAAATTCTTGATATGACCTTATAGCAAATTACTTTCACCTGTTGAACTTTCCTTTCTTTTATTCCCCTGTACCTCACCTGCACTGGGCATATTCAAGTTGCTTATACAACACTTTACTATTGTGTTAGAAAAATCATGACACATGATGAATGTGTTTGTGCAACATGAGCTGATTCATAAATGAAAATGTGCATTGAAATTCCACAATATTTTAAAATTAGGAGTTTATCTAGCAATTGAACAAAATTGATTAAATCCATTATTTGTTAGATCAGCTAAATTACATAAGTTCATTCATCTGCTCATAAATCCATCCATTCTTCCATCTGGCTATCCCTTAGTCAATTCAAATAAATATTTATGGGGCACTTTGGGTAAGCCAGGTGCTAAGAATTCAATGCAAAACAAGATAGACTCCCCTGTCCTTGTTGAACTTATATTTTTGGTACAAACAAAAGCAATAATCAAGAAAAAATAAAAAAAGTACTGATTGTGATTAATAATATGAAGAAATTCAACAGAGTATTGTACTTAACATTTGATTGATCTGATTTTCTCAGTTGTCTGAGAACAAACATTTGTGAAAATCTCATTGTAGAGTTCTTACGATGGATAGGGGGTCAACTGTGTCATTATTGCTTATCAGCTTATCCCAAAGACCTAGTTTATTACCAGATTGCAAATAGTGTTCAATAAATTATTCTTATTAAGGGTTGTTATGTACTCTAAAACATTTATTGTGGTCCCTTCACTGGTTCTGGTTTACAAACTTACTTTTCTATGATGACATAGTATAGAAATTGAGAGTGAATATTTAGAAGTTCATTTTTATTATATATTTTTGAAGTATTGATATGTAGTGAATTAGAAATTTAAAAAGAAAACAAAACTGTCCTTCACTACAGATTGAAAAGCATTATACTAAAAGACCATTTGCTCAGTTATAGTATATAAAGGCCAAATGACTTAAAAACAAATTATGTAAGGAGAAGGAAACAACCATTTATTCAGTGCCACTAACTGTCAGCCAGTTTTTTCAGTGGTCAGTTAATGACTGCAGTAGTGTTCTACCTTGCTCAAAGCACCCTCCTCAAGTTCTGGCATCTAAGCTGACATCAGAACACAGAGTTGGGGCTCTCTGTGGGTCACCTCTAGCACTTGATCTCCTCATGCAGTGCATGGTGCTCTCACGTCTATGCTATGTTCTTATGGTCTTTAGGTAACAAGAATAATTTTCTTTCTTTTCCTTACTATACATTTTGCTTTCTGAAATTCCCTTCTCGCCAATCCAGGTGAATGTCAGAATGTGATTTGACAACTGTCCAAAGTACTCATTCACTGAGGAGTGGTAAGGCCTTCGCCCAACCTGCCTTCTCTGGGAATATACTGCTGCCTGAACATATCATTGTTTATTGCCAGGCTTGAACTTCACCAAATTAATTTATTAGGGTCAACATCTAAATATTAGAACTATTTCAGATTAATTTTTAAGTCGTATCCACTTTGGGTACTAGATCAAATTGCAGGTCTCTGCTTCTGGCTTGAGCCTATGTTTAGAGATGATGTGCATGAAGACACTCTTTGCTTTTCCTTTATGCAAAATGGGCATTTTCAATCTTTTTGTCATTAGTAAAGGTCAGTGATAAAGGAAGTCTGCATCAGGGGTCCAATTCCTTATGGCCAGTTTCTCTATTCTGTTCCAAGGTTGTTTGTCTCCATATATCAACATTGGTCAGGATTGAAAGTGTGCAACAAGGTTTGAATGAATAAGTGAAAATCTTCCACTGGTGACAGGATAAAATATTCCAATGGTTTTTATTGAAGTACAATACTGAATTATGTTTATGGCATGGTACCTATATGTCACAGAAGTGATCCCATCACTTTTACCTTATAGGTGGGCCTCTTGGGAAGAACTGGATCAGGGAAGAGTACTTTGTTATCAGCTTTTTTGAGACTACTGAACACTGAAGGAGAAATCCAGATCGATGGTGTGTCTTGGGATTCAATAACTTTGCAACAGTGGAGGAAAGCCTTTGGAGTGATACCACAGGTGAGCAAAAGGACTTAGCCAGAAAAAAGGCAACTAAATTATATTTTTTACTGCTATTTGATACTTGTACTCAAGAAATTCATATTACTCTGCAAAATATATTTGTTATGCATTGCTGTCTTTTTTCTCCAGTGCAGTTTTCTCATAGGCAGAAAAGATGTCTCTAAAAGTTTGGAATTCTCAAATTCTGGTTATTGAAATGTTCATAGCTTTGATAGTGTTTTTCAGAAGACCAAATTTACAGTGGGAGCCTTGGGCTTTTGTTTTTTAACAGCTCTTTTTTGTTCCTGCTTCAGTGGCCTGACCTCCAAGTTAGCAATCGCCAGGTTGAGAAATGCTTTGCGAGACATAACAGATGCTCCTGAAATAACAAACACTTGGAATCATGAGGTAGTGGAATTGAAAATAGAAAGTGTAGTGATTGTTTTTTGTTATTTGGATGGGATGAACAATGTCAGATTAGTCTGTAACTATTTTTTTTTAATGTCACTCTGATTTGGTCACAAAGGATCTCTAGTCTCATTGCCTTAGTATCATTCTACGAATTAGAATGTGTTACTGTGTAAGAGCACTTCTTGTATATGAGAGAAATAGCAACAGTTCCAGTTTAAAGTGATATAAATGGAAACCAAGAAATGTCTTTACTGGGACCAAATCTGGACAGCATTTACTGTATTTTTGCTGGTATTTTCTCTAGTCTTTCCGGGTATATTCACATTTAATGATCACTTTTCTCCCTTTGTGCTAATGGACACTGAATCCATTCCACTACCATAGTTCTTGCTAATACTACTCTACTTTTTACACAAAATTAAAATGCCAGGAGCACCTCCAGGTAGACTGACTATAAATCTAGACTGAAAAAAAAGCTTGTATTTCTTAACAGATTACCTTGTGGAACATTTGCTCCTTTCAACTAATGAGGCACTAAATATTGTAACTGCTCAACTGGTGCTTTTAATTTATTTGTCTAGACTTTGTCATGTTGCCAGAAGCTTTATCCTGGTTGGAGTTTTGAAAACAGTATTGTTTCTTCAGAAAGAAAAAAGGGATTGTCAGATGATCTAAAAATAAAGAAACACTGGAAATACAAGTATCCCAAGGTGATAGCATTAGGCAAGATAAAAATGTTGAAAAGCGAAAAAGAACTGGTTGATAGAGAAGTGTTGTTATTCAGTAGAACCTAAGTCTTGTGGTCCCATTTTTAATGAAAAATGGTGAATTTTTTGGTTTTTATTGTTCTTGTTCACACAAATCTGCCCATTAGAATAAGCCAAGCCCTAAAAATTAATTTCAGTTTCACTGGGAATCCTTTAGTTTATCTACTATGTAGTAGAGAGGTTTTGTTTTATTGCATGTTTGACGTAGGAACGTATATATGCAAGACATGGAGGAAAACCAAGTGGGCCAGAGTTTTGAAAATTCTTTATCTTTTCTTTCTGCCAAAGTGAGTCTCCCAAGTTTGTCTTTTTTTTTTCATTTCCACTCTTCTATGGTTTCTAGCATTATATAAACCAAACAAAAAAAATACGTTCAGAGATTCCTTCAGAAATGCTGGATGATCTTGATATCGATGCTTTTCATATATGTGTTTATGATGCTGGTTTCTGGGGCTGGCTCTCAGTATCACAAAGATGTCTGTAAACAGAATATGCTATTTCTTCTTTGTGACAAATTTTGAACATTATGTGAATGTCCAAGAAAGAGCAAAAGAGGGCAAACTTCTCATACATTTTTGATGTCGAAACCAAGAGACGCTTTTATTTTCCTAACTTTTCTTTGAAAGTTCAAATTAAGTAATTTTATCCTGTCCTAAAGTTTAAAAAGAAAAAAAAAAGGAAGAAGGAATTAAAAATCCAAAGAAAATTATGTTTGTTTGCTTTTCTGTTTTTTTCTTCCTTCCAACTCCGAGACTTTGCAAGGGCATAGTTCTGAAGATCTCTGACACTGAGACATTAGAGATCTCTGTATCAATGGATCATTTGTTTTCAGACATATGAAACAGGAACTTTGAACAAGAAATTTCCCCTCTTTTTCTCATAGTGATCCTGAGACATCAGCTGTGGAATCACAACACGTCATTAGTTTTGGCAGGTCCTTGCAGGTGTTTTGTTTTGTTTTATTAATGTTCTTCCCTCCTGTAGCTAGACAGCAATCTTGGAGAATCTGCCAGCTTGGAAGACTATTGTGTAAATTTCAAGGTGGAGCCTCCTTTAATTTGTTCTGTGTTACCTGTGAGCTGTGAGGTCATGAAGAGGAGACAATGAGGCTAATCATGAGAGCCCCATTGGTTTAGGCAATTAGAACAACAAGATCTAAAATGGTTTATTAGCCTTGAATTGTGTTAAGCACATAATTCATAAAAAACAGAAAAAATATTTTTAAATGTATGTCTAAATCTTCAGTTACAAGTTTGAAAGGTGACAAACTATTCTGAGGAAATGATTAGGCCTATTCTTGCAACGAGTCTTTATGATCTGAAAAGAATCTATGTCCACACATAACTCCCACCTCAAAGATGGGGCATCTTTTGCTCTGGGAGATATCAAATGCGACCAAAACAAGTGTTTGTAGATTTGAATGATGATTCAGCAGTGTAGCAGTTCTCACTCATTTTATAATAATTAACAACTTAATAATTAATTATTAAACTCCTACATGCTTAACATTATAAGTATGATAACTTCTGTGGTTACATAAAAGATATACATAGCACTTGTCCTTGATCTGTCACAGTGAGGTCCCAATCCAACCTATGAGCTTCAAATGAAAAGTTCAAAATTACACTCATTGTCATAAGTCAGAGATCAAAGGAAGAAAGGATTTAACCAAAATGATAAATTAAATATAGGTGATTAAATATAGTCATGGTTCAAGGCATGGGCCAGTTAGGGAGTGTGATGTGGGTAATTATGAAAGGCCAGCTCCCAAGCCCTGTTGTTGCTACTCCCCCACATCAGTCATCCTTCCTTTTTTTCTACTTCTACTGCAGTGCCTTCCTCATCTTTTCCCTTGCATCCCTCCATTATATGAGTCATACAAATTAGACTTTTCAAAGCAACATTAACATTGTGTGAATTTGGGGTTTTTGACTAATCCCAACATTCCACCCCCACATTCCAGTCCCACATGGGATTTGGAGCCTTGTTTATAAACCTGGCACTTCTAATATATCTTATCTTAGAGTAATCCTTGTATTTGTTTAATTTCCACTTAGCATTGTAAATACTTGCAGGTATCCTAGTTAAGAAAGCAAGGTTTAAACACAAAATCATCACCAATTAAAGCAGGCTAGATAAAGAATGTAATAGAAATGCTAGATAAAACAGATTTTTTCTTACTAAGTTTTCTGTCCCTTATAGAGTGCATAACACAATAACTTGCTTGATAAGAATTCAATGTACATTGTTTTGTGCTGAATCACTAAATGCTTGATTTCTGTAACAAGAGATTGTGGTTCCATCAGTATCTGGATTTTAGTCTGTGTAATCTTAGGCAAGTTATTTGATTTCTCTGTGCCTCTGTTTTCTTGTCTGTAAAATGAGTATAATGGTAGTAACTAATTCATTGTGTTTTTGTGAGGATTAAATGAGTTAATAACTAGTACTCCTCCCTGGCACATAGTAAGTACAATATGCTGTGCTGTGGTGGTTGTTATTATTTTTTATAGTTCCTTGAGCAAAAGAAATAATGTCCCCATCTTAGTATAATATTGGAGGTATATACCATAGAAGTGAACAAAAGAATATAGTTTCACAAAGAAAGTGATAATTAAGGCGGTTCATAAAGGGTCATAAAGCTTGTAGATTTTAGAAATGTGGGGGCATGAGGATGTGGAGAGGGTATTCCAGGATGCCAGACAGGGAGATTATGGATGAGTACTAAGATGAGAACTAGAAAAAGCTGAGGGGCAAAAGGTCAGAGGAGGCCACAAGTTAGGGAGTATTAGGAAAAAGAAGTTAATACTTGACAAGTGCCAACATGGCTTCACGAGGAATGGGTTGGGCCTTTTTGAGTGAGGAAGAGGCTGGTGAAAGGGTGGTGGAGGACACTGCTGCTGCTGATGGCATGGGGTGTAGGTGGCAGGAGAGGCAGGGACATGAGCTAGGAAACTCTCCAGCTATGAAGTGATGAGTCTGGAGTAATATAAGGACAGTAGGGGTGGAGTGCTGAACTTAAGGGAGGAGAGAAAAATAATTGGTATGGAAGTAGGTACAATGCAATTTTATTATTTCTGAGCCTAAAAATGTGAAATTTTTGATTATTTGGTCAGACCAGGGAAGTATTTTCTTTTATGCTATCTCTGAAAATGTATACACTAAAAAGTTGTAGTATAAAAAGGTTGTAAAGCATTAAGTAATTTTAGAGGAAACAATAATTTGGATATTTTACATGCAATCATTTATATGCAAATATATGTAAATATTACAAAATTATTCTCTATTTGTTACAAACCTTAAATATTTTTGACTGAGGAATATTTTATTCATCTAATTATAGCTACTTTGTTCTAACTAATAGATATTCTTGAAAACAAAGCAACACTTTTTTGGAGACAGAGTCTTGCACTGTCACCTAGACTTGAGTGTGTTACCTTGAACTCCAGGGCTCCAGTGATCCTCCCACCTCAGTCTCTTGGGTAGGTGGATTACAGGCCCACACTACCATGCCCAGCTGTATTAGTCCATCCTTTCATTGCTATAAAGAAATACCGGAAACTGGGTAATTTATAAAGAAAATAAATGTAACTGGCTCACGGTTCTTCAGGCTGTACGGGAAGCATAGCAGCATCTGCTTCTGAGGAGGCCTCAGGAAGTTTTCAATCATGGTGGAAGGCAAATAAGAAGCAGGCATGTTACACGACGAATCAGGAGCAAGACAAAGTGAGGGAGGAGGTGCCACACACTTTGAAATGAGCAGATCTCATGAGAACAGCGCCAAGAGGATGGTGCTATACCGTTCATGAGAAATCCACCCCCATGATCCAGTTACCTCCCACCAGGCCCCGCCTCCAACACTGGGAATTACAATTCAACATGAGATTTGGGCAGAGACACAGATCCAAACCATACCACCAGCTAATACCAAAAAAAAAAAAAAATTTTTTTTTTAAGACATGGTCTTACTATGTTCTACAGGCTGGTCTTAAACTCCTGGCCTCAAGTGATCCTCCCACCTTGGCCTCCCAAAGCACTGGGAATTCAGACATGAGTAACAGTGCCTGGCCAATACTTATTTTTAAACATTCTCTACCATAAACTTAGGATCTTGATTTGTTCACATTGAACAGATTTTTATTATACAGATTGAATTTATAAGAAAATGTTGCAGACATTGTCAAAAAGGGACGTCCAAACCACTGTGATATTTATAAGCATTTGGGCCACATTTTGATAGAACTATACACGGAGTGTGTGTGTGTGTGTGTGTGTATATATATATACACACACACATTATTTATATATATGTATATATGTATATATATATATGTATTTATATATATATGTGTATATGTATGTACACATTATTTACCTACCTACTGTGTGAGTGTGTGCATATATACACGCACACACACACACACAAATATATATATTTCCCTTCTGAGACAAAGCCAAACAGCACTGTATGCTTAAAGAAAAACAGTCACACTTCCCACTTATGTAATTTATATTACATCCAGTCACCACACCAGCCAAACTGCTTTATTGTTTTTTGTTTGACATCCAATGCTAAAGCATAATGCCTGTTGCAGTGAAATATACATGAGCAACCCTGAGAACTCAATATAGCCTCACGTGTTGCCACTGAGTTGAGTTGAGGAGTCAAGCTGTAGCAAAAAGGTTTGTCACCGGGTGAGTAATGGTGCTCTTATTTTTCTCTGGGTCTCAAGAAGTGCTCTTTATGACATATATGGCATTAAATAAATATCAGATATTTGCACATCCTAACTTTCCTATTGGTGAAGTTTCTTAAAAGAGAGATAAAGGGCCATTGTGTGAT
Organism: Homo sapiens; assembly: GCF_000001405.40. NCBI lineage: Eukaryota > Metazoa > Chordata > Mammalia > Primates > Hominidae > Homo > Homo sapiens. The sequence continues at coordinate 117,648,594 of NC_000007.14, forward strand.
TGATAGTTTCAGGTATATTTTTGCTGCACAGTCAGTCCGAGTGTACCACGTAGGGCAAACCACGTAACTTCTCAGGGCCTTGACTGTTTCATTTGTAAACCAGAGAAAAGGACTTGGGTGACCTCCAAAGACCTTTCAAATTTGGAGATGAGTTTGTGGAAAGTTCAAACAGTTTAGAAAACAGAACTAAGACACCCACTGGCACCCCTGGAAGCAAGAGAGTGCCAGGTACTATTTGTAATACAGGAATGAAATACCTAATTGTATGAAATTGAATTCTAACTGAACCAGTTTGTTCAGTTAAATTTTTTTTTTCAATTAGAGTGCTTACTTCAGTATCTAACACTAGACAGTAAACTGTAGACAAAAGACCTACAGAATTTCTGAATGGTATCAAATTCACCACACTTAAAACTTTGGGATGTCTAATTTCAACCAACAGCTTTCTTTCTTCATAATGTTGAATATATGTGTATCTATTTTAGCTAAATTTAATATATATCAATATACTTTGATAGATATTTTATATAAACTATTAGACTATAGTATTATGAGTAAAAGACCCACCATTTCCCAAGCAATTATAAAGAACGATCAAAATTTTAATGGGTTGTTAGTATTATTTCTTTAAAGATTGTGATACTGATAAATATTTGGCCACATTTTAATAGAATTATACATGGGATGTGTGTGTGTGTGTGTGTGTGTGTATATGTGTGTGTGTATATATATATGGCAGTAGAGATATATATATCTACACACATCTAGATATATATATACATGTATATCTATATATACACACATATATCTGTGTGTATATATACATATGTATATATACCTACATACATATGTACATATACATACATGCATATATCTGTACATATATATATAGTGTGTGTGTGTGTATATATATATATATATATATATTTTTTTTTTCCTGAGCCAAAACAAAATACTAGGTTGTAATAGCTGTTCTTTCAGAAGGAAGAAAAACAACATGTGCTGAACTCTGAGTTTGATGTTTTTGTATTTTACTTCCTATTTTCATATCAGTCCATTTATTTATTCAGGAAGAATTTATTGAGCATATATTATGAACACAGCTTTTGCTAAGGACAGGGTATGCAGCAGTTATGGCCTAGTAGGAGATATGGATGTTAAAAACAAAATGCTCACAAATGCACATATAATCTTAATACTCATTGTAAGCTATGAAAGCAGAGTGTGAGTATTATGAGACCATATGTTGGGAGATTTTATTTGGTATTGAGGATCAGGAAAGATACCCCTGAGGAAGTGATATTTAATTTGAAACCTAAAGAAAGCAGTTGGCCATGGGAAGAAGGTAGGGAATGAGATTCCCAAGCAATAGGAATCCAATGTGTGAAGAAGCTGAGGGAGTGAAAGAAAGCTAGTGTGGTGGCAGGAAGAAAGAGAAGAGAATGGAGAAGGGCACTAAATGAGTCAGAGAAGTAGGAGGGGCTAAACCATGTAGGGTCGTGTAGGCCATCTTAAAGGCCTGAGTGTAGTGGAAAACCTTTGAAGGTTTGTTAAAAGGTCAATGAAATGTTCTAATTTCTGTTGTAGTGAATTGCTTTGATTGCTGAATGCGAATGGATGGGTAGAGATGCAAGAGTGAAAGGGAAGAAATCAATTAGGAGGCTCTTGCCCTGCTCCAGATAGGACTGATAATTAATTTTATTTGGGAAGATCAGGGAGAAAGATAAGTCATGAATGACTCCCAAGTTTCTGGATTGAAGAAATGAAGGTACCATACACTGAGATGGGAAAGCCTAGGGGTAGAGTAGCTTTGAGAAGAAAGGTAGCATTTCCCCATTTCATAAAACATGGAAGAACAAAGAGGCTGGATTCCTGTTTGTAGACATACCTTCCAGGCCAGAACTGCATTACTACAACATCTTTGCAAGCCACATTGCCTTTCATAACTCTGTGTCAGTGTTGATGCCGTAACATCTTTGGCCTTCCCCCTACCATCCTCCCGCAGTCCTCCATGATAATGCCATTATTCCGTTTCAAATTGTGTGCTTCCATTGGATGTGTGAGTCTCCTTGAAAGTTATAATGAGGCTGTAGCCCATATGAAATGCTTCAACTCAGGTCCTGCATAGGAAGAGGAAGCTAATCTCTCCAGGAACTGAGCCTGTGGCTAGAGGGATGGATAATTGTTTAAATAAAGAATATGCTGCTGAGTACTGATGGGCTCTTTATGTACCCATTTGGCTGCTGCTGCCCAACCTTTAATCTTTCCTGAGCTTTAAATAGGAAGGAAAAAATGGTCCACAAAGGATTTGAGCCATTTTGCTGTGGTGATGAGGAGCACGGGTTTAGAGACAAACACTCCTGTGTTTGAATTCCAGCTCCTACTATCTCCTAGCTAAGTGACCTTGGACAAGTCACTTACCTTCTCCAACCTGCTGTTTCTTCATGTACGTAATAGGATTTACCTCATGAGGTTGACATGAAGATTGAAAGAGGTAACATATAGAATGAGCCTGTCCCAGGACATGGTTCATGATAAGTCTGCCATAAATGGGAGCTATGTGTCCCACCCTTTTGGAGGAGATAACTGTTCTGTAGCAGGTAATATATTGTTTGATACTTGGTTAACCCTTACAATTATCATTTCCTGTTCTTCTCAATAATGCTAGAAACCTTTTATTTAAAGAACCACAATATAAAATGAAAAATATATAAAAAAAGCAAATGGAAAAATTCTATTGGCAAGGCTTTTTAACTTTATATACTAAATAAATCCAATTGCTTAAATAATGAACTGACTCAAGTTCTCAGCACTGCTTCTTGTTTAATTCTCTTTAGTTTTTCAGAATTCTCCAATAATGACCTTTGTCTACTCTCTTCAGTTTATTCAGAAATTACTTTTATTTACATAGAAGTTTGGAAGTGGATACACAAACATATCCCTCACATATCTTATGATCCTATGAGTCATATACTCATCTCTTATATTCCCTCTGTAAAGCAATGTAGGTACCTTTCAGGAAGGTGATTTTTATGTAGGTTGAGAAATATCAGCATGGAGGTCCTAGCTGACCTCTCTAGAGAGTTTCTGAGACATTTGACAACAACTTTTTCTTTAAGTCATCAGTTATGCCCCGGGGTATGAAATTTCTAACATGATCCTCAGTAAACTTGGCTGCCTTGCTGAGGATACTCTCCATCTGCCTGAGAGACACAGACACCATTAATTGGGAATTGACTTGACTTGTGTGGTTCCTTGTGGACCAGATGGCCACTAAATATTCTCATTTCAAGGCAATTGGTAAAAACTACACTTCAAGAAATTTCATTCTTAATTCCCCTTAGTGGATGTTATTAACCAAAGGCAAAAGAAAAAAAGGGTAAAAAAAATATTCTAAATGTTAATATCAAAAATATTATTTTCAATTCACCCCAGGCACAGAGAACTAAGTATTATTATTGCTATTGCACCGGCATTCCCCAATGAGACAGTGATTTTCTTTTAAGACATTTTTAAATAATATAGGCAGAATTAAGTAGACGGTGATCTGGTAAGTAGATGTTTCAGGGTAACAGCTGTGCAATGCTCCATGCAGGGAATTAGATTGTCATTTTATTCCTTACCAGGAACATACATTCAGTTAAACAATTATTTGACTTCTGCTCTTCCACTGATTTCTAAGTTGAGGCTCTCTCTTGTGCCTGTCTGATCAGATAAGTAGAGTTGTGCCTTGGTTTATAGATGAGATAAATGTGTATTTGAATAAGCATAAGTTAAAGAAATTTTAAAATCCCTTAGGAAGCTAGGCTTATCAGAGAAATCCAAGGAAATACATTAACAAACTAGGAATTTGTTCTAACAGGTTAATTATAACTCATAAACTTATTGGGTTTTTTTACCTTTTAATTTTATATTACATTTGCTTATAATAAGGAATATTGCTAGGAATAAAATTTTTTAATATTCTACAATTAACAATTATCTCAATTTCTTTATTCTAAAGACATTGGGATTAGAAAAATGTTCACAAGGGACTCCAAATATTGCTGTAGTATTTGTTTCTTAAAAGAATGATACAAAGCAGACATGATAAAATATTAAAATTTGAGAGAACTTGATGGTAAGTACATGGGTGTTTCTTATTTTAAAATAATTTTTCTACTTGAAATATTTTACAATACAATAAGGGAAAAATAAAAAGTTATTTAAGTTATTCATACTTTCTTCTTCTTTTCTTTTTTGCTATAGAAAGTATTTATTTTTTCTGGAACATTTAGAAAAAACTTGGATCCCTATGAACAGTGGAGTGATCAAGAAATATGGAAAGTTGCAGATGAGGTAAGGCTGCTAACTGAAATGATTTTGAAAGGGGTAACTCATACCAACACAAATGGCTGATATAGCTGACATCATTCTACACACTTTGTGTGCATGTATGTGTGTGCACAACTTTAAAATGGAGTACCCTAACATACCTGGAGCAACAGGTACTTTTGACTGGACCTACCCCTAACTGAAATGATTTTGAAAGAGGTAACTCATACCAACACAAATGGTTGATATGGCTAAGATCATTCTACACACTTTGTGTGCATGTATTTCTGTGCACAACTTCAAAATGGAGTACCCTAAAATACCTGGCGCGACAAGTACTTTTGACTGAGCCTACTTCTCTCCTCACTGGTATGGCTCCAACCATCAGGCCCTATCTTGGTCCATTTAGGCTGCTAAAATAAAATACCAAAGACTGAGCTGCTTATAAGCAATCTTTGGAGGCTGAGAAGTCAAAGATCAAGGTGCCAGCAGGTTTGCTGTCTCGTGAGAGCATACTTCCTGGTTCATTGATGGTGCTTTCTTGCTGTGTCCTCACATAATGGAAAGGGCAAGACCTCTCTGGTGTCTCTTTTACAATGGCACTAATCCCATCATGAGGGCTTTGTTCTCATGACCTAATCACCTCCCACATGTCCTACATTCTAATACTATCACCTTGGGGGTTAGGATTTTAACATATGAATTTGAGGAGGTGGCGGGGGGGACACAAATATTTAGACCATAGCATTTCACTCCTGACCTCCAAAGTTCATGTCTTCTTCACATGCAAAATACATTCATTCCATCCCAATAGCCCCCAAAGTCTTAACTTGTTCCAGCATCAACTTACAAGGCTAAAGTCCAAGGTTTCATCTAAATATCAGCTAAATCAGCACAAACAGCTAAATCAGGTAGAGTGGGACTTAAGGTGTGATTCCTCTTTAGGCAGATTGCTCTCCAACTATGAAATTGTGAAATCAAACCTATTATGTACTTTCAAAATAAAATGGTGAAACAGGCACAGGCTAGACAGTCCCATTTCAAAAAAGAGAAATAGAAAAGAAAAAAGGAGTGACAGGTCTCTATAAGTCTAAAACTTTAAGGCTTGAGAATAATTTGCTTTGCTTTGCCTCCAGGCTCACTGGGGTGGTGTCTTACCTCTGGACACACTGGGGTGGAGGCTCTATCCTCATGGATTTGAGTGTCTCATTCTTTGTGGCAGGTCTGTGCTCCAATCCCACACCTATGGCTCCCTGAGTGTGCAATTGCATGCCTGGTGGTTCTACTGGTCTGGGATTGCATAGGTGGCCCAGCCTTCATAGCTCCACTGGGCATTGCCCTAATGTGGGCTCTATGTGGTGACCTCACCCCTGGGCCTCTACCTGGGCCCTGTGACTCCCTGGGTTCTTGAAATCTAGGTGGAGGCAGCCATCCCCCTACAGTTGTGCTGAGTGTAGTGCATGAGTGCTGGGGTCTGCTAGAGCTATACCTAGGGTGGTGGAGATGTATGGCAATGGAGTATGGGGAGCTGATATGGTTTGGGTGTGTCCCCACCCAAATCTTGTCTTGAATTATAATTTCCATAATCTCCATGTGTTGAGGGAGGGACCTGGTGAGAGGTGACTGGATCATGGGCATGGTTTTCCCATGCTGTTCATGTGATAGTGAGTGAGTTCTCACGAGATCCAATGGTTTCATAAGGCAGTTTTCCCTGCTCTTGCACCCTCTTTCTTGCCTGTCACCATGTAAGACATAACTCTTTCCCTTCCGCCATGATTGTAAGTTTCCTGAGGCCTTCCCAGCCATGTGGAACTGTGAGTCAATTAAACCTCTTTTCTTTATAAATTACCCAGTCTCTTTACAGCAATGTGAAAATGTGCTAATACAGGAGCAAAGACTGCAGTGTGAGGTGGCAATGTGAAGTCTGCAATGTGAGGTGGCACGGGGCAGTTGTAGCCCCTCCTTTGAAATCTTTCTTCCCTACCCCAGGCCTCTGCACTCTGAACTATGATGGGAAAGGCAGCTTGGAAGATCTCCAAATGGCTTTGGAGTCATTCTTCCATTGTCTTGGACTATAAATTCTGGCTTCTGTTTAGGTGGCTGACTAATATCCCCACTGTCTGAATGCATAGCACCTAGTTTCTGTTGAGATGGCTAGTCCATAGTAATTTACTTATCAAATTTGGCCACACCCTTTGTATTCTCTCCTGAGCAGGCTTTCTCATCTTTCACAATATGGATAGGCTGAGAATTTTCCAAATTTTGAAGTTCTGCTTCCCTTTTGATCAATAATTCCATTTTAAAGTCATTTCTCATCTTGAATTTTACTATGAGCAGTCAAGAGTAACTAAGCTGCTCCTTCAACTTTGCTTGGATATTTCCTCAGTCAAACATTCAATTTCATTGCTTTCAAGTTCTGCCTTCCACAAAACACTAGGACACAAACAGCTCAGCCAAGTTCTTTGACATTTTATAAGAAGGATAGCTTTTCCTCCATTGTCCAATAACATGTTCCTCATTTCCATCTGAAAACCCATCAGATTGGCCTTTACCGTCCATATTTCTGGGAACATTCTGCTCATGACCACTTAGGTATTCGGTAAGAAGATAGTAGCTTTCTCTATAGCTCTCCTCCTCTCTGGAGCCCTCACCAGAATGGCCTTTAATTGTCCATTCACAGCAATGTAGGCTTTTTCTAGCATGTACCTGAAAACTCTTCCAGCCTCTACTCATTACCTTGTTCCAAAGCTGCTTCCACATTGAGTATTTGTTACAGCAGTACCCAGATCCCAGTACCAATATTCTGTCTTAGTCCATTGGGGCTACTACACGATGTCTTATAAACAACAGTAAAATTTATTTTTCACAGTTGTGGAGGCTGGGAAGTTCAAAATCTGGTGCCAGCAGATTTTGTGTCTGGTGAAGGCCTTCTTCCTCACAGATGGCTGTGTTCTCACTGTGTTGTTACATGGCAGAAGAGTGGGCAGGCTAGCTCTCTGGGATGTCTTTTATAAGGGCAGTAATCCAAATCATGGGTTTAGGGTAGAGCCCTCATGACCTAAATCACCTCCCAAAGGCCCCACCTCCTAATACCAGCATCTTTGAAGTTAGGATTTCAACATATGACTTTGGCAGGGGGACAGAAGCTTTCAGTTTATAGCAAACCCTATAGGTAGCACTACTTTGTCCTTTCCTAATCAATTTGCGTCAATGAAACATGAATTAGAAGAGACCTAGGCGACTCCACTATACTGGGATTATTCCCAGTATAAATTATCATCTCTCCACACCTTCTCATCTACTCCCTATCTGAGTTCTGAAGCTCTCCACTACAAGAAGGAGGCTTTGGTTTGACTTGATATACTTCTCTGGGAAACAGGTTTAGCATAAAACAGTGATGCTCATTCTAGAACACCTGCAAATGACAATAGTTTTCTTTCGAAGTCGCCAGGAATCGTCTGCCTTTGGGTATGTGGCTGTGAGCACTGCCGGGCAAAATGCCATATGACCTAGATGAGGCATATGCCATCCTTTGAAGCCATTAGGACATTATATAGGAAATATATTAACTAAAATGGAATAAAATTTTCTAAATAACACCTTATGTTTATCCAACAGGTGGTTCATTATACTTGAGAGCATTATACAGAGGAATTTGATGGGGAGGAGAGCTGGAGAAATTCTCGAAATTCTGGGTTTCTTTAACAGAATACTCTAGCTATAAACTTATAATTTTAAAAAATAAGCATTATATTAAAGAAAAGGGAACATAAATTATTTTGTTTTATTAAACTTAAGTCCAAAGGTCTGGATTGTGGCAGAATAGGATCAGGGGACCTAAAATGTTGAGCCTCAAAGGTCTTCTTAGAGAACAACTGTATTCCACTATTAGCGCTTTTGGTCCTTTTAGCCCAATTTCTGTTTATCCCAAATGTTCTTCCCTTTTCTGCCTTCCTTCACAGTGGACCCTGCCAGGAGCTTTGAAATGCCTGTGAGTGTTAAACACTTACCCATTGAGTGCCCAACCTTAACATGCCCCTAATAAAATGTACTTAGATTAACCGTTTTCATTATCAAAGTTTCCTTATTACCCAACAAACACAGGCGCTTTAAAGAAAACATTAACTAAATTGCAAGTGACACATTTTAAGATCTTTGATATGACTTCAGAGAATGCACTATAGGAACACAATGCAATGGGAGGGAAACTTGGGAGGGAAGACATTAGCCTTTATAAAATCTGCAAGTATTGCCAAATCAAAATAAAATTTACAGGAAAGCAGGATCATAAATATAATCTAAAATCTTAGAACCTGTGGTTATGATTTTAAATACTAATACAATGCAAAATTTTTACCTGTTTAGGTTTTTATTTCATCAGTTCATATTTAGGTATATACTTTTACTGTTCTCCTTTTTTATAATTTACCATTCACAAAGATGATGATGTTAGTCTAACTTTAATGTCATGAGTGCTTTGAGTAGTAGTGCTAAGTTTTTGTTGAGTAGTAGTGTGCTTTTTTGATTAGTAGTGATAGGTTTTTGATGAGTAAGCCTGCTAGCAGCATACAAACAAACAAGCAAGTATCAGCCTAGAGAAGCAGAAAAGGCATTTGGGTTTCAAAGTCACAAGGCCTAGGCTTTAGTCTAATACAGCTGATAATACAATTTGTCCAAACAGGACATTTTTGGGTGTGTCAAACACTAAACTGGACAGGACATTATGACAAAAGTGCAAAGCAGGACTTTCCGGGGCAAACCAGGATGTATGTCATCTCACTGAGTCCTCTCTTTGTCCTTGCCATGACTAGTATCTCTAGAGGTAAATGAACAGAGTAATGACAAATAGCCAGACACCTGAATCTTATCCCAACAGCACCTCCTACATAATTCCCCATTATCCCAAATGGAAATTAAAAATATATACAGTGATAATTCCAGGCCAAGAAATGCTTTATTTCTAGCTTGGACTTGGCTTCCATGTCCAGTGTAGAATCTTATCCTTGCTGATCTGGACTGTATCTCATGAAGCCATGACTTGTACCTAGTTACTAGCTGGAAGGCTTAGAACAAAAGCTGGTCCAGAGAGCCTCCTTTTTCCTTATTTCCTGGGTCCACACCTTTACCATGGCAGTCTGCCTATCATTTGATGGAGGAATTTAAAGCAAGTCCAAGGGAAGGGAAGAGAGTTTCTAAAATCTAGAACTTGGATAGTTTAATTTACCTATCCCAAAACAGCTTAGGCCCAGACAGCTTCTCTCCAAGATTGGTGCCAAACTGAAATTACCAGCTGTGTAGACCAAAGAGAATTTCAAAAGAAACTGAATCCCAAGAGAAAAAAAAAAGACTTCTGGCATTGTGGCCCAATAAATTGGTAGGATTGTTGT